>NC_000004.12:110588047-110739562 GCF_000001405.40 Homo sapiens | reverse complement strand
AATGACATTTACAAATACAGACGTCGAGTAGATAGGTAGTTGGATATAAAAGTCTGGAACTCAGAAAATTCATCAGCCTATATATAATATTTAAATCCATGAGATTGAATGAGACAGCCCAGGGAGACAGTAGAAACAGAAAAGAAAGGAGGACCTACGGCAAAGCTCAAAGGAACAACAAATAAAGAACAGATAGAGCAGGAAGAGCCAGCAAAGACAGAGGAATGTTCAGTAAGATATGGTGAAGACCCGGGGAGTATGGTATCACAGAAGCCAGAGAGGCATTCCAGCAAGGAGCAAATGGTTAACAGTGCCAAATGCTACCAATGGGAGGAGTAAGATGAGGGGGAAATGTTGCTGGCATGGAGTCTTAGACCCTTGGCAAGGGCAGTTTCAATTGAATGCCAGGGATAAAGCCAGATTGGAAAACGTTGAAGAATGAAAGGAAGAAGAGGAAGCGGGCAGAGTGTGTATAGATAGTTTGTATAAAAAAATCTATTTATGCAACAGAACAGAGGGGGGAACATGTGGAGTCCAAAGAGGATTTTGTTTGCTTGCTGTTTAGTTTGTGTCGTAGGGTGAATTGGTGGAACGGATTGTGGGAGTCGGTGCTGCCCCAGTCTTCCCAGGGCATTCGTTTCTGATTTCTGGATCTGGTCCACATTCATAAACATTCAGTTCATTCACAAGAAGACAGTTCTTCCAAGAAGAACCACAAGACTCATTGGTAAACGTCAATTTGACTTCCTGACACAGAAGTATCTTTTCCAGATGGATATTTGGCATTTAAAAGGAATGGTTTATTTGACAAAAATATGTTAATTAATATTGACCAACGGTCTTCCTGTAGTAAGAAAATTTCCCCCTAAATAAAGTGTTTTCCCACCATATTTTAGTTTAGAAATAGATCAGGGAGTTAAGAAATTATTAATAAAGTCTTCATTTTAGCAAAGTGGGTGGCTTTAGAAATGTGTTATCTCACAGTTCTAGAACCTAGCAGTCCAAGATCAAAGTGTTGGGAGGACTGATTCCTTCTGAGGGCTATAAGGATCTGCCCCAGACCTGTCCTCTATCTTCTAGGGAGTTGCTGGCAATCTTTGGCATTCCTTAGATTATAGACACATGACACTGATCTCTACCTTCTTGTTCACATGGCATTCTCCCTGTGTGTGTGTCTGTCTCTGTGTGTAAATTTTCCCTTTTGCCAGGCGTAGTGGCTCATGCCTGTAATACAAGCACTTTGGGAGGCCAAGGCAGGAGAACCACTTGAGTCCAGGAGTTTGAGACCAGCCTGGGCAAAATAGTGAGACCCTGCCTCTACCAAAAAAAAATAATAATAATTAATAAGCTGGGTGTGGTGACGTGCACCTTTAGTTCCAGCTATTCAGAGGCTGAGGTAAGAGGATCGCTTCAGCCCAGGAGGTCAAGGGTGCAGTGAGTCAAGTTGTGATGGCATCACTGCATTCCAGCCTGGGTGACAGACTGAGACCTTGTCTTGAAAAAAAATAAATAAAAATAAATTCTTCTTTTTTATAAGGACACCAGTCGTATTGGAATATACCAGTTGACCAATACACCACCTTACTGACCTCACTTACTTCCAAATAAGGTCACATTCTGGAGTACTGGGGGTTTTAGGAGGACACAGTTTAACCCCCACGATGCACTTAAACACAAACAGCCTTTCCTCTTCTTAGTGAAAGAGAGAAAAACCACTTTTGTGGGCGATATCTTTAGCTTCATGGTATTTGGTCAGATTTTGATCCCACAGTTCTTATACAGGCTGACTTCTGTGGGTCCAAGAACTGTAGGATGCACATTGTGGGAAGCAAAACCTTGCAGGTACCCTAGATTATTCATGTAGCTGGAAATTCAGAGTAACACATTGTAATCTTTATTTTGAGACTGATAATTTATAATAATTGCTTTTTGTAAAATATGAAGTTTTTAAATATATGTATATGTTATTTTCATAAAATATAATAAATATAAAATATATATTAATAGTTCTGTGTAACGAAGGAGTTTATAAGCTCTCATAGAGTTAAAGATGCTATGTCCATTTCAATTCTAGGGTGTATGAAAGAAAATGTTATAAATTTCCACTGCATAGTCAAGAGCAGACCAAATTTTGAATCTGCATTTAATATTTTATGTATTAACTTACTGAGACCTGTGAGCAATTCAAGTAATAACAGAACACATAAAATAGCTACTCAGGTCATATTAGAAAGTTAAACTTTGATGTTATATAAAAATTATAGCTACAGATACAAAAAATGAACTGCACTTCACTTTTCTTTTTTGCAATAAATAGTAGCCTTGAGTTTCTTTTTTTTTTTTTTTGAGACAGGGTCTCATTCTGCCACCCGGGCTAGAGTGCAGTGGCGCCATCACAGCTCACTTGCGCCCTCAACTTCCTGGACTCAGGTGATCCTCCCACTTCAGCCTCCTGCATAGCTGAGACTACAGGGTGCACCACCACACCAGCTAATTTTTTTGTATTTTTTTGTAGAGACGGGGTTGCACCATGTGGCCAAGGATGGTCTCGAATTCCTGGACTCAAGCAATCTGCCAGCATTGGCCTCCAAAATACTGGGACTACAGGTGCGAGCTACTGCACCAGGCCTTAGTCTTAATTCTTAAACTAATTCATGAAAGTTTACATTGCAGGGGAGTCAACATCTCTGATCCCTGACAAATATAATAGCCTAAATTGCCTTGTTTTTAAAGGGAAAAAAATCTTTAAAAATGTATAATTTATTGTTAAAAACATATCTTAGAAGGAAAAAGAGAACACCAAGAACATAAAATTGTCCTAAGAGAAAATCTCTTCAAATCCTAAGAGAAAATCTCTTCAGCAAAGCATATCTTCAATCCAGCATGGCATTTGACATGCATAAGTTCTCATTCTATCCTTGTGCCACAAAAGTAGTGGCATTTTTGCCAAAATTTTTATTGAGGTACTAGTACCAACACCAAGTAAAGTTTATAGAATTGCTCTTTATTCTCTATCCTATTTTAAGATTAATTATTTTATTTAAAATTAGTTAATTATTTAAAATTAACCGCTTAATTTTAAATAATTACAGGAAAATGTAGAAAAATATCTATGAAATTTGTGGCTTTAAAAAGATGAGAATGCTAAGAGTGAGAACAAAAACACTGTGCAGTGGAATCGCCTTTCAAAAATTATAATAAACTAGCATAAGGACATGAATTTTTCACAGAGATAAATGGAAAAAAGGTTGAACCTTTTTCTTATGTTAAAATCCTGGGATGGAACTCTTTATAGCAAGACTCAAGTCTTTTCTGACACACAGCCCAACACAAATTTGTAAACTTTCTTAAAACATTATGAGATTTTTTTTGTGTGATTTTTTTTTTTTTAGCTTATCAGCTACTGTCAGCATTAGTGTACTTTATGTGTGGCCCAAGACAATTTTTCTTCTTCCAATGCTGCCCAGGGAAGACAAAAGATTGTACGCCCCTGCTTTATAGGTAGAAAAGCTATTTCTGTTCAGCCAAATACCTTCATAGTTTCTTTACCCCCAAAAAGGTGAAGTCTCCAATGAGGACACCTGGCTCTGCAGCAGAAAATAAAGAAGGGAAGGTTGGCCCTGAAAGCCTGAGAGAGCAGAAGGGGAGGAATCCACCAGCCTGATGTCAACCTGGGCTCTGTGCCAGGAATGGGCCCTGGGAGGAGTTCACAGAGGCAAGAATGATAAAGATACTTCTGAGGTCTAATATTCATTTTTGTTTTGTTTTGTTACTATCTAAGCTGCATGCTATCTCTTTTCATAACTTCAGACCTTCAGTAAAAGTCTACATATATAAACCTGGGTTGGTAGAACTTTGGTGGAGATAGAAATTGAGGTATCCAGCCTAGGACAACAAAATGCAAAAAAGTGACAGTGGCGTGGAACATAGGATGCAGATTGGGAGTTGAGAGCTCAGTAGAAATAGATGATTAGCCAGAGATGACCAGTCATAGTGCCAACTTCCCCAAGAAGCCTTGAACATATTAAGAGGGAAGATGTGAGTTCCTCCACTCTTGAGATAGGACCCATGGTAATTTGTTTAAATTTAAAATGTGACCCCAGAGAGCTGAAGAACTGAGGACATGTAGGCAGCTGACACTGGGCTTACCTAAGTGTAACAATGTCCAGTTTCTGACCCCTAATAGGACTTGAATATAGCGCATTAATATTTTTAAAACTTAACAATCCTACAGAAATACAGGATGGGAAAAACCTCACCAGTACTTTACATGAAAAAAAACTGAGGGATTATAGTTGGTGAAAAGATCGATATTAGTCAAAAATGTTCCCAGGAAAATAATGAATTCTTGAGCTGTTTTATAAGCCAGGTGTCCAGAACCAGGGAAATGTTGTCTTCATTGAATCTTCCTGAGTCTGATCATATCTATGTTCAGTTTGGGATACTTAAAAAAGACATTGGTAAAGTGGAGTAAAAGCAGATGGAGGCAATAAGGATGGTGATGAATCTGGAAGCCACATCAATTACCAAGCAAGTGAAAACAATTCTTATGATAACCTAAAAAGAAGTTTTAGAGGAGATTTATTAGTCAGTTTTCACACTGCTATAAAGAAATACCTGAGACTGGGTAATTCATAAAGAAAAAAAAAGGTTTAATTGACTCACAGTTCTGCGTTGCAGGGGAGGCCCCAAGGAACTTAAAATCATGATGGAAGGCAAAAGGGGAAGCAGGCATCTTCTTCACAATGCTACAGGAGAGAGTGAGTGCAAGCAGCGAAATGCCAGTGCTTATAAAACCGTCACATCTCGTGAGAGAACTCACTCACCATCACAAGAAGAGCATAGGGTAAATCGCCCCCATGATCCCATCACTTCCCTCCCCTGACACATGGGGATTACAGGTCCCTCCCTCGACACATGACAATTACAATTAGAGATGAGATTTGACACAGAGCCAAACCATATCAGAAGACATAACGTTTGTTCAAATGTTTGTAAAGTACAGAAGATTGTGGCAAGCAGAATTAATGGCCCCCAAAGATGTCCACATCCCAATCCTGGAAACCTGTGAATAAGTTATCTTGCATGGCAGAAGGAACTTTACAGGTGTGACTAAGTTAAGTATATTCAAATGGGACAATGGATTATCCATATTATCCAAATGGGACAATGGATATCCATGTGGACCCAATGTAATCACAAGGGTCCTTAAAAGATGAAAGAGGAAGACAGAAGATCAGAGTCAGGAAAGGAGTTGTCACAATAAAAGTAGAAGTTAGAGTGATGTGGGGCCATGAGCCGAGGAATATAAGTGGCCTCAAAAGCTGGAAAGACCAAAGAAACGGATTTGTCCTAGAGCACTCAGAAGAAACATAGCTCTGCCCACCCTTTTTAAACTTCTGACCTCCAGAACAATAAGATAAAAAATTGCGGTTGTTTCAAAAGACTAAATTTGTGGTCATTTTTATTGCAGCAGCAACAGGAAATGAGTACAAAAAGTAAATAGTCTCCATAATGCTAAATAACAAGAGAAAAAGTAGATGGGAGTTAATGGGATAGAACTTCAGTTCACTGCAAAAGCCTTGTCCCACAGCATTATCATTGAGACAGATTGACCTGTGCCAGGCCTCCGATGTGGAGCTCAGCCACCAGCACTGTTGTCCACACGAAGAGCAAACCCCGGAAGCCAGCTGAACATGCCCACTCCAGCCACAGTCCTCCCCACAGTCCTGCTCAGAAACATACATGTTAATGAATAAAGGAATTTTTTTAATGGCATAGGAATGAACGAGTGAGAAAGAAGAAACAGTGGGTGGGAATTATCAACACATTTTTGGAAGACTGAAAACAAATGGAGGTGTGCCAGCAGTATATTAACTGATTCATTTAATTGTGGGGTAATAGGAGGCTTTGATCTGATGAACAAATCTCTGTATCTGGGAAGGACTTTTAGTAGATATATTAAAAATTAAACAAATTAAACAGAAAATGTTTTTCATTCCAGGAAATATTAACCCCAGGGGAAAATATATTGTTCAAGAAAGAATAAATTATCATAGTACTCTACTAGTTCACTTCAGTGAACATCTACAAAGTCATAATACTGAAAACATTGAGTAGTTTGTACCCCAACCTGTGATAGACTGTGAAGGGGAGTGTGGGGTAGTTGAAAAAAGTTAACTCCTCATCTTATAGTTAAGTGTAAGTTAATAAGTGGTGTCTAAATAGATACATCAAGAAGTACCTACCATTTGGAAATATTAAGGGAATGGATACCAGGAAAAATAACTAAAGGAATTGAGAACTAGGGTTATTTTTCATGTGTTTCTTTATCTCCAGAGTTGTAGAGCATAAAAAGGGAACATAGTTCTATTCTGGAAGAGTTGGTAGGACCAAATACTGATGTAAATCAACCTACCCTTTGTTGCGGGTTTCTGCAGAAATGGCTTGTTTTCTTAAATCTCAGAAACAACCAGAAAATACAGAAAACTGTCAGAGTACATGTCTTGCAGGAGAGAAAAACAGAAAAAGAACACAAAAGCGGCATCAGGATAACATGCATACATGCATGCTTGTATGCATACACACACGCATACATCTATACTCGCATGTTTGTACACATACACTCATGCATACATACAGAGGAGAGAAAGGGAATCAACTTGATTGAGCTCCCACTGCTTTCAGACAAAGGGGCAGGTGATTTACGTGAATATTTCATATAATTCTCACAACAATTCCCAGGGGATTGAAATTATTATGCCCATTTTATGGCTAAGGAAGCTAAGGTTAAATAGTGAATTGTTGGCCAGGCGCGGTGGCTCATGTCTGTAATCCCAGCACTTTGGGAGGCCAAGGCGGGTGGGTCACGAGGTCAGGAGATTGAGACCATCCTGGCTAACATGGTGAAACCCCATCTCTACTAAAAATACAAAAAATTAGCCGGGCGTGGTGGTGGGCACCTGTAATCCCGGCCACTTGGGAGGCTGAGGCAGGAGAATGGCGTGAACCTAGGAAGTGGAGCTTGCAGTGAGCCAAGATTACGCCACTGCACTCCAGCCTGGGCAACAAAGCGAGACTCCATCTCAAAAAAAAAAAAAAAATAGTGAATTGTCCACATTACATAGGGAGAAAGGTTTAGAGCTAGGACACAAACACAAGTTTGTGTGATTTCATAACCTACACCTTTCCCACTACACTGAGCACCTCATTTATTAGCCAGTGGTAGAACATGCTGAGACCCCACTGGGACATCTGAAGGGCCAAGTCCAAATAAAATAGAAAGAAAGCATTACCAAGTAATACAAGGACGACCAAGATCAGGAGTGTAGGGGCTGGGATGTGGTTGTAAAGGAAATTGACCAAGGTCCTTAGGGCAAACCTGGCATAGGCCTGGGACGTCAGGGGTTTCAGAGCCTTCAAGGACCTTATAGGGCATCTTGAGATTACCTGAGAAATCAATGCAGGAAATGAACTGAAGTAAGTATTAAAGTCCTAGCTGGATCCACATACATCAGAGAACAATAAATCAGAGCTCAAAGCTGGAATCTAAGCTTTCAGTCCTAAGACTACTGACTTTACATCAGGGAGAAAAACATCAGTTTTCCAAGAGCTTCCCAAGCACAAAAATCAGAGAGTTGGTTCTCTAGGGGCCTCTCTTAAAGAGGTATGAAAAGGGAAGTAAAAGAACCTCAGAGCCCATGCAGTGCAAACGGTAGCTCTATGCAAGGAAGTGCACCCACATTGTCCCTACAGATTTCCCTCTAAGATGAAAGCCATTCACTTGCTTTTCTCCAAGCTGCTAAGAAAACAGCATATTTAAGAACTCTTCCTTGTGAAGTCAACAGGCAATCACTGGACTACTTCCTACCAGAGGAACTCTCAGAAGTCAGAGGAGTCCAACCAGGGAAAGGTGGGGTACAGTATGGCATTTTCAAAAAGCTGGCAGAAAGGGAGCAAGAAACTGAGAAGGAAGCAAAGGAGAAGAAAGGGGAGAGTAAAGAAAGAAAGAAAAGATGACACTGCTGAATGCAGACCAAGAGAAAAATGAGAAAGGAATTCATTGATAGGCCGACTGTGGAGGATTCTACATACATCTACCTTTTGACTCTTAGGTTTTTAATTTTCATATAAAATTTCATTTGTTTTCTTTCTATTTTGCATTAAAGTAACATAAGAATCCCCTATTTACATAAAAATTCTATTAAAGATTTGTACCAACACAACTTTATTACTTTTACCTTCACTTAAAGTGGAACATGATTAAGGTTGGATGTTTCTGTTTCTCAGATGTTCTGTGTTTTATACACTGTAGAGTCAAAAGGAAATCCTGCTTTCTATCTAAATCCTAAATGGATTTTTGGAAGATAATAGATTCATAAAGGTTAAGAAATATGGGATCAATATCTATGCTTGATCATTGTCCACTTTCTTTGCAATTTAGCTTTGGGTGAAAATGCACCACTACCCAAATCAGAAGATTTGGATATCACATCTAATTTTAACACTATTCTTATAGGCAAAGTACCGTAAAATGGAAAGGATCTTTGAGTAAATAAAAGAGGACTAGATTTTCACAGGTTCTAAGTTGCATCCAAATCAGTCTTTGTAATATATTGGTGGTAAAGTGATCTTTTTGTTGCCAAGGTCGGCTTCTTCTGGAACATTAGTAATATAGAGAGATGGAAAACTCACATGCAAGTTCAATACAAGGATAGAGATTTAAAACAAAACAGATCTCTACATTGCTTTCTATTATGTTTAAATTACCCATTTCTTATCTTAAATCCATCATTTAAATCTCCCAGAATGATTGATATTCTATTTTTGTTTTCTAAAAGCAATTCAAATTAGAAAGTTCAGACTCTAGACTCTGAACTTCTCAAGGTCAGGAACCATACTTCACTCATGTTTATATTTCCCAATCTTGGCAAACACCTGGAACCAAGTAGCCTTTCAATACATGATTGTTTAAATGAATTAAACTAACAGGTATCCAAAAAAGAGTAATGAAATACCCAAAATGAAAGGTAGCCATTTTGCTGATGTGACTATTTCTTTTTTAAAAGCAATGGAGAACATTTTCAGTATTGACAAGCACACCCATCAAAAGTGAATTTACCATAGGTAAAGAAGAGAAGTATGTTCTCTCTCATAAGTGGAAGCTGAACAGCGAGAACACATGGACACACGGAGGGCAACAACACACACCAGGGCCTGTCGGGGTGGGGAGGGGAGGGAGAGCAGCAGGACAAATAGCTAATGCATGTGGGGATTAAACCACCATGGCACACGTTTACCTATGTAACAAACCTGCAGGTTCTGCACATGTATCCTGGAACTTAAAGTAAAATAAGATAAACAAAACAAAAAAACAAGACAAAAAAAAAAGAAGAAGAAGAGAAGTAAATTGAAGCTCTTGAGCCTTTTGTGCCTTGTTCCTAGGAGGGAATTTTAATTTTTTGATTAAAGAAAATTATTAAAATAAATTCAATTTTAAAAAGACGAAATTACTAACACATTTTATCTTATGAACAGATTTAATATGAATAATATTGTGAATTAAAATTTAGAAGGAAATTCACAGTAAAAGACAAGAACAGATTAAATATTCAAACTAGCCTCTAAAATAAGTTACCTCAAGGAATAAAAAACTGAAAGAAAGTAACAGGTGATTAAAAGCTGTCAAAAGGAAACACTCTATCTAGAATTTTTTACTTAATAATATGTCATTGCCTCCAATCATACTGGGCCATGCTGACCTAAAAGACAAGGTATCAGATGTTAGTTATCTGATCTGATATCAGACCCATAAAAGCTGTTACCCAGAATATATATCTATTCTGGTATAAACTAGTGATACACACACACACACACACACACACATATATATATATATATATATATATGTGTGTGTGTATCACTAGTTTGAAAAAGAGAAAAACTCTGCTGATGTGATTTAAATGACTTTACTATTTCAACTGAATATTCATTATAAATTTTAAAACCACCATCTAGTTTACCCACATAGGATTTATTATTTTGACATTTCAAATTACAACATGGTATTAACCTTTGTTAAATTGGAAATTATACATGCAGTAGAAAGACCACCCATACCAGCATTGGGAATTGATGTCTTTCTGGTCTGTTTTACATGCATTTGATGAAGGATGCAATTCAGCTGTTGTTACACTGATTTCATTCTTGGATGACCTCCCCTTGGGCAGCCGAGTGACCACTTTGCACTGGTTATTCACGTGCTTTATTGATTGACACCCAGGGACCAAGTTATTAAATCCTTCTTAAAGTATATGGTTTTCTAGTCAAAAAAATAACAGAATATAATTAATGTTTTTTTAAAGGTAATACATATGCTTCACTGAAAGCAAAATAAACTTACTTACTAGAGAAGGCATCCATACTTCCAGGATGAGAAAAGAATCCAGGAGATTGTTTTCCTCTCAATAACAGCTAAAAAAACAAAAGCTCAAGACTGCAAATTAGGCTTCGGTATGTTTGATAATTACATGTAACAACAACAACAACAAAATCCTCATAATAACCACCTAACTCAGACTAACATAGCTACATATATCCCCTTCCTTTTTTTTTTTTTTTTTTTGAGACAGAGTCTTGCTCTGTCGCCCAGGCTGGACTGCAGTGGCGCAATCTCGGCTCACTGCAAGCTCCGCCTCCCGGGTTCACTCCCCTTCCTTTTTTTGCTGGTTTTTTTCTCAATTATCTGGGACACATTTTTAAATGCCTCTGTCATTGTTCTTGTGTCTAAGAAGCTAGCTTTTTCCCAATATTTGTTCTCCTCTTCCTCATGAACATGGACAGACTATATGTCACAACCTCCTTTGTTGGTAAGTATATACATTTTCATCCAGTGGACAAATTTTATACAACATTCTGGGGACCTTCTTTAAATAATGCACACCATTTTCCTTTTCTGTTGTCCCTTCCTCTTTTCTGCTAGCTAGAATGTGGACTTGATGGCTGGAGCTAGAGCAACTATGTTGAGCCATGAGATGACCTTGGTAAATTAGGAGCCACACACAAAAGAGCAACACAATAGACGGAGCTGGGGCCCTGAGGACTCTGTGGAACTGACCCACCACATCAGCCTTAAACTACTTATCTACAAACCTTTCAGTGTCAGAGAAATAAATTTCAATTTTACTTAAGACAGTATATTTTGGGTCTCTGTTATTCTCAGTAATCTCTAATCCTAAATAATAATGCCCATTGGCAATAGAGGATTTGGGGAAAGCAGTGATTTATAAACTTTGGGACTTTTAATACCCTTTCTTTAGGATGTATATGCCTGCAAATCTCTGCACTTAGAGAATAATAATGTAAGAGTAGCAAATACAATAGCTACCATTTTTGAGGGAGAGGAAAACTGGTGCCTAGTTTATAAAAATTAATGATCTATACAACTTTTCCTTTTATAAGCTCATCAGGGTTAGGTAGCATGTTACAAGTTCACATGCCAGTAAGTGCTAGAGCCAGGATAAAAAAGACTAGACCCAAAGAAATGAAGTACCAAGTCAGAAGATTGATGATACTGTGTCTGCCATAGCCTTTGTTTCAACAAGTAATCACTTCTATGAAGAGTGCAGAGTGCCATACAGTATTCCTCAGACATACCCTTACTCTACTGATGGATATTGCAGTAAGCAGGATCAGGATAGCAGAATTATCAAATGATGCCGCCTGTATGTGATTTCCTACAAATGCTGCAGGTCTCCAACCCAGAGAGACATTCATAAAATATTATTGCTCGCTTCCCAAAATTAGCAGTTGGAAGTAATTTATCTTTGCCATGGCAAAAGATTAAACTACAATCTTTAGAATGTTTTGCATTTTGCAATAACTCAAAGAGAATTCTCCTATAAAACTATTTTCACTTATAGTCGACTTATAATGTATGCAGAACAGGCATTATCCCTTTCTTCAAAGACGCAAAAAATTAAATATCAGAGAAATTAAGTGACTTAGCAATGTCACAGAGTCATTAAAAAGGTAAGGCCAAAATTCAAAATGTATCTTTAAAATTTTAGTATTCCTTTCACTGCACAAGAGGAGTTACATGGATTTTGAAACTATTTCTTATCTCACCAATAATTCTAAAGTTATTGCCATGCATATTGATACCATACCAACAGCCAGATTCTCCAACAACAAAAACGAACATCTAGGTTAATCAAGGTCCCGGAAGTTTCATTAAGAGATGGCAATCAATGCACCACAGTTTTCAAATAACTTTTATTTAGTCCTGGGGATTAGCATTAATTTAGCACACAGTCATCTTGGTTATATAATATGAGCATGCAACCATAAAAACATCAAAATCAATGAATTTCCAAGTTTGGAAGATGAAACAGAAAATTCTAAAGCCAGAGAAATTCTTGGGCATCATCTAGTGCAACTCTTTCTAGAGATAAGAAAAGTGCCCCTGCAATGTTAGGAGTTTTTCTTGATGTCACACAGCCAGTGACAATTGGGAAAAGAACCCAGACCTATTGAGATAAAGGCTTGTGTTCTTTGTACAACTTGCTAAATCCTAGCACAAATTTTGAGATGCAGTTGATGGAGCAGATATTATTCTTATATTAAGAAGATTCTTATATATGTTTTCTTTCAATAAAGAACTCCATTAGTATATTTCTGATGTGATTACACTTATAAAAATTAATGATATAGGGAACTTTTTCTTTTATAAGCTGGTAAGACTCATTTTATATGGGATTGCATTTAGAGAATAGAATCCCTCTACAGCCAGCCACGGGTTAACTACACAATTAACCACCAAGTTTCTGACACAAAAATAATGAAGAAAAAAAAAACAGAAATGCTTAGATTTCCTGAGTCACTGTCTAGTTCACTTTAGCTGACCACTCCGCAAAGGTTCTGAGGTTAAAGAACTGACATTGTTTTACCTGGTGTTCATAATTGCCTAGAAACACAGAATTCACACATTTTACCAGTTAAGAGTTCTCTCCACTAACCTTGAGTGTATGCCATGCTACTGTAGGATACCTGGGAAAGCCCTTCAGTGGTTCCATGGGGTATCTGAATGAAGACACGGCTTAACCCTTATGCCCTGAAACTCCCTAGCCCCACTCTCCACTCTACCCACACCCCTGCCACTGGTAAGATATATATTTTTTAATAGACTTTATTCTGTAGAGCAGTCTTAGGTTCATAGCAAAGATGAGTGGAAGATACAGAGATTTCCCACATATCCCTTGCTTCCACTCATGTGTGGGCCTCCCCATTACCAACATCCCCCACCGAAGTGATACATTGTTACCACACAATTGATGAACTCACATTGACGCATCAGTATCACCCAGAATAAATATATATTTTTAAACTGATATATATATTTATTTCAAATCTCTTTTTATATTGCTATCATCTTTTTCTTAGCCCCCATCTCACCCCTTCTTGCTGGCAACTAATCTGGAACATAGCATATTCAAATTATGATGTGTATATACATTGCTGGTGGGAATGTAAATTAGTTTGGCCAGTGTGGAAAGCAGTTTGGAGATTTCTCAAAGAACTTAGAACTACCAATCAGCCGAGCAATCCCATTAGGGTATATATCCAAAAATATATATATATATGATGTGTAAATTGATCATCATAAAAAGTTGAGACACAGGTTACCCTTTTCCCAAAGAAGATTGAAAAGCAAATGAAAATTAAGAAAGATTAATCCAAAAATCATTAAGTCCATTTTTCTATAAGCATTAGAAACTACTAGAGTATATGTGTTTGTTGTGGGGGGAGGTGGTATTTTACTAGTAGCTGGTATCTAAACATAAATACCTAAATTAAATTAAAATCCTTTTATTACCAAGTTATCTATATTGTATTTACCCATATTGTATTTTTGAAACTAAATGGTCCTCCTTTGTTTTACAGAAACTACAGTATCATATCCAGCCAGAAAGACAAAAAGTCACTTTAAGAATATCTGTAACTTACGTCTGACCTGGTTAGAGTTCTACACATATGGATTTCTTCAAAGGGCCTAGCTGTGGTCCTGAACTTGCTTGAGCAAGCTGTAGGCCTCATATAGAGTAACAGGGAAAACTACTCACTCATGTGCCTAGATTCACAATCCCTTGAAAACAAAGCTGAAAAATGGAATTCCATACTAGATTTATTTACTAAAATGTCTTAGTTTAAATTCACTAAAATGTCATTTTAGTACAAAACTGAACTGCACTATTTTGGGATTTCTGGTGACCAGACCTCTATGTTGATTACTGAGTCCCTTTGTTGTTTTTCATCATTACTATTATCATTAAGAAATGGTGCTTGGGAAACTGTGCAAGATGCTTAAGAAACAAAAGATAAGCAGACACAACCTTCTTCACATGGAGCATGAATCCCAATGAGGGATGACAATCATAGATAAACAAATGGATAAACAAAATGATTGCAGATTTATGAAGCATAATATTAAAATAAATGGCTTTACACAGGACAATGACATGGTCTTATTTGCTTTCTCAGAAATCATTCTGACTTCTTGAAGAATAGAATGGAAGTGAGTAAAAATGAAAATGAGGAGACTGCTGCAACAGTCTAGACAAAAATTAGAAAGACCTGTTCCAAGGTAGTTTCATGAGAAAGGAAGATGAGTTAACAAATTTGTGCCATATTTTAGACATCGAGGTGACAAAACCTGATGGATTTAATGTGAATGAAAAAGGGACAACTTACCAAGAGTGGTATCCAGGATTCTAGCTTGTGACTCTATTAGATGCTCATATTATTCACTGAGAGAGGGGACAAGAAGGAAGCATGAGTTATTGGGAATGTAGCAAATTCCATTCTGGATAGGAAAATTTGAGGTTTCCTGTGGAACATCGAAATAAAGATGTTGACTAAGTATTTAAATATAAGGGCCACAATTTCAGAAGCAAATCCAAGGTTAGAGATAAATTCAGAAAGTCATCAGCATATGATGACAATGAAGCCATAGAAGTAGATCCAATTGATTAGGGAGAAAAATTCAAATGAAAAGTGAGTAGATGCTAAGCCAAAACACCACTGTTTAAAGAATACATCAAAAAAAGTAACCATGCAAGACACTGAAAAGAAGTAGCTGGGAAATCCAGAAAGACTACTAGATTTACAGATTAAGGACCTAGAGGATGATGGTACTATTACTAAGATATGGAAGACTGAAGAGGATTACTGGGGAATGAGAGACAGGAAATCAATAATTGTGTTAACCATGTTAAGTTTAAGATGGCTGTGATTCCTTCAAACAGAGACATCAAGAAGATAGTTTGAATGTTTGAGTCCATAGCTCAGACGAGAAGTCTGAGGAGATACAAATGTGGAAAATTCTAATTATGTGGTATTTAAAGTCATAAAGTTGGGAGAGGGAACTTTGGAAAAAATATTTAAAAAAAAATAAAGGCTGGACTAAGCCCTGAAGATGGCCAACATTTAGAGTTTGAGTTAAGAGGAAAAGCCATGAAATGGGAGATATTACAACCAATACTACAGAAATACAAAAGATTATTCAAGGCTACTATGAACACTGTTATGCACACAAACTAGAAAACCTAGAGGAAATGGGTAAATTCCTGGAAATATTCAACCTTCCTAGATTAAACCAGACAGAAATAGAAACTCTGAACAGACCAATAAGAAGTAGTGAGAATTGAAGCAGTAATAAAAAAATTGCCAACAAAAAAAGCCCAGGACCAGATGGATTCACAGCTGAATTCTATCAGATATTCGAAGAAGAGTTGGTACCAACCCTATTGACACTATTCCAAAAGATAAAGAAAAAGGGAATCCTCCCTAAATTATTCTATGAAGCCAGTATCACCCTAATACCAAAACCAGGAAAGGTCATAACAAAAAAAGAAAACTACAAACCAATATCCCTGATAAACATAAATGCAAAAATCCTCAACAAAATACTAGCCAACCAAATCCAACACCATATCAAAAAGCTAATAAGCCATGGTCAAGTGGGTTTCATACCAGGGAGGCAGGGATGGCTTAACATATGCAAGTCAATAAATGTGATACACTACATTAAACAGAATTAAAAACAAAAATAATATGATCATCGTAATAGATGCAGAAAAGAGCATTTGACAAAATCCAGCATCCCTTTATGATTAAAATCCTCAGCAAAATCAGCAAAGAAAGGACATACTTTAAGGTAACAAAAGCCATCTATGACAAACCCATAGCCAACATTATACTGAATGAGGAAAAGTTGAAAGCACTCCCTCTGAGAAGTGGAACAAGACAAGGATGCCCACTTTTACCATTTCTAGTCAACATAGTACTGGAAGTCCTAGCCTGAACAATCAGACAAGAGAAAGAAATAAAGGGCATCCAAATTGGTAAAGAGGAAGTCAAACTGTTGCTATTCACTGATGATATGGTCCTATAGGAAGAAAACCCTAAAGACTCATCCAAAAAGCTCCTAGATCTGACAAATGAATTCAGCAAAGTTTCAGGATACAAAATCAACATACATAAATCAGTAACACTGCTATACACCAACAGGAATCAAGATGAGAATCAAATCAAGAACTCAACCCCTTTTACAATGGCTGCAAAAAAATAAAAATACTTAGGAATATACCTAACGAAAGACGTCAAAGATCTCTACAAGGAAAACTACAAAACACTGTTGAAAGAAACAATAGATGACACTAACAAATGGAAACACATACCATGCTCATGGATAGGTAGAATCAATAACATGAAGATGACCATACTGCCAAAAACAATCTATAAATTCAATGCAATTCCCATCAAAATACCATCATCATTCTTCACAGAACTAGAAAAAAACAACTCTAAAATTCATATGGAACCAAACAAAGGGCCCACATAGCCAAAGCAAGACTAAGCAAAAAGAAGAAATCTGGAGGCATCACTTTACCTGACTTCAAACTATACTACTACAAGGCTATAGTTACCAAAACAGCATGGTACTAGTATAAAAGCACACATGTAGACCAATGAAACAGAATAGAGAACTCAGAAACAAAGTCAAATACTTACAGCCAAGTAATCTTCAACAAAGCAAACAAAAAAGTAAAGTGAGGAAAAGACACCCTGTCACCCTGTTCAACAAATGGTGCTGCGATAATTGGCAAGCCACACGTAGAAGAATAAAACTGGATCCTCATCTCTCACCTTATACAAAAATCAACTCAAGATGAATCAAAGGCTTAAATATAAGACCTGAAACCATAAAAATTCTAGGAGATAACATCAGAAAAACTCTTCTAGACATTGGCTTAGGCAAAGAGTTCATGACCAAGAACCCAAAAACAAATGCAACAAAAATAAAGATAAATAAGTGGGACTTAATTAAACTAAAAAGCTTCTGTACGGCAAAAGAAATAATCAGCAGAGTAAACAGACAACCCACAGAGTGGGAGAATATATTCACAAACTATGCATCTGACAAAGGATTAGTATCCAGAATCTACAAGGAACTCAAACAAATCATCAAGGAAAAAAAACAAATAATCCCATCAAAAAGTGGGCTAAGGACATGAACAGACAATTTTCAAAAGAAGATAGACAAATGGCCAAACACATATGAAAAAATGCTCAACATCACTAATGATCAAGGAAATGCAAGTCAAAATCACAATGCAATACCATCTTACTCCTGCAAGAATGGCATAATTTAAAAATCAAAAAGTAATAGATGTTAGCATGGATGTGGTAAGAAAGGAACACTTTTACACTGCTGGAGAAAATGTAAACTGGTACGACCACTATGGAGAACAGTGTGGAGATTCCTTAAAGAACTAAGAGTAGAACTACCATTTGATCCAGCAATCCCAATACTGGTTCTACCCACAGAAAAAGAAATCATTATATAAAAAAGACACTTGCACATGCATGTTTGTAGCAGCACAATTCCCAATTGCAAAAATATGGAACCAGCCTAAATGCCCATCAAGCAATTAACCAGTGGATAAAGAAAATTATGTGTATATATACATATATATATAATATATGTAAATATACCATAAAATACTACTCAGCCATAAAAAGGAATAAAATAGTGGAATTCACATCAACTTGGATGAAATTGGAGAGCATTATTCTAAGTGAAGTAACTCAGGAATGGGAGAACAAACATCGTATGTTTTCACTTGTAAATAGGAGCTAAGCTATGAGGATGCAAAGGCGTAAGAATGATATAATGGACTCTGGGGACTTGGGGGAAAGGATGGGTGGGGTTGCGGTTTAAAAGAGTACACGATGGCTACCATGTACACTGCTCAGGTGACGGGTGCACCAGAATCTCAGAAATCACCACTAAAGAATGTATCCATGTAACCAAACACCACCTCTTCCCCAAAAACTATTGAAATTGAAAATAATTTAAATAAAATTAAAATTACAAAAAAAGAGGAAAAGCCAGTAAAGAATGAGATTGAGTTGCTAATGAGACAAGAAGAAAGCCAGAAGAGTGTGGAAGCTAAGAGACATCGAAATTTTTTTCCCAAAAGAGAAAATAATCAGCTATGCTAAATGCTACCGGGAAATTAAGTAAGACAAGAGCATAATCATAAACATTGGATTTGGCACAAGTGATTTCAGTGAAATGGTAGAGAGAAGAAAGCCATATTTGAGTGGTTTGAAACTGCATAGAAAGGGTGACAGCATATAGACTACTTTTCTAAAGAACTTAGCCAGGAAGGGTGGCAGAGAAAGGAATTAGTAAATTGAGGGTGGGGAAGATATGGGGTGAGTTTTTTTTCCTTCAAGAAGAGGAATACTTGAGGGGATGGATACCCCATTTTCCATGATGTGATTATTTCATCTTTCATGCCTGTATCAAAACATCTCATGTACCCCATTAATATGTACACCTATTATGTACCCACAAATATTAAAAATTTTTAAATTAAATAAATAAAGTTTTATTAAGTTCTACAATAAAAAAGAGGAATACTACAGCATATTCTTATACTGATGAGAATAATTCAGTAGAAAAAGACACTCATAATGTAAAAGATAAAGGGAAGGACTGAAATGTTTAGAAGATAAGAGGAAATAGAATCGCAAGCAAAGCTGGAGGGATTGGTCTTCAGTAGAATTGACTCTTCTTACATCTTTTCTGTAAAGAAGAAAAAGATGCAGATTATGGATAGACTCAGCAGTGAGAGTTCTCCAATGACTATAATTTTTCTCAGTGATTCATGAGATGGGGTCTTCTGCTGAGAACTGGGTAAGAAAGAGGGGGAAGAGTAATGAGAGCTCTAAGGACCAAGCAGACAAAGTAGTCATCTCATAGAATGGAAAAGTAAACTTAGTAGTGTAACAAGGATAACAATTTTTGATATATATTAATGTGCTTTTCTCTTTTGCATCTCTATAGACGTGACCTTCTTTCTACTCAGAGGCATTCATCTACAGGGGACTTAGAGAGCAGGTGAAGGGGGCATAGGATGGTGATTAGTACACATAGCACAGGAATAGAAAAATGCAATTAACACCAGCCGAATCCCTAGCAATTCCATCTATTTTAAAAACAGGGTTTGTCAAGAGAAAAAATATTTTTTAAATTTCTTAAACTTCCAGTAATGTATTAAAAGCCAGTCCGGCTGGCTTAACCGTCAATTTTACTATTAGTCTGAAGAACTCAAGATAGGACACAAGAAAAGTCCCTGCCACATAGGAAGGGGAAAAAAGCCACCTAATTCAGCCGTAGAATAACGGGGACAGGAGAAGAGCAAGAGGTACAGCAACCTCTTTGCCTTTCCTCCTTCTCAGCATTCAGCTTCAGTACCGAGGGTGTAGAAACATTCTGATAGGTACAGAGCCGCCCAAGAACATTAGAGCTAGCCGACTGCTTCTCCAGGCAGAGCCTAGAAGAGATATAAACCATTAGCAGAAGTCCCTCACTGGGACAGAACCCAATGTCCAATGGGCACAGAACCAATAGCACCCATATGCCACTGGCTTCTTAAAGCTTGTGTGGAGTATGAGTGGACATAAAGGTGATGAGAGGGCTAGTTAACCAAAAGAGATCCGGCACCAGAAAAAAAAGGGACACATAAGTACAAGATCTATGCAACCAGGACAAACAGCTAAGACTGCAAATTTCAGAAACAGCTGCACACACAAGACCTCCAAAAGGCCACAGGGGAGCGGACATACCTCAGTGGGTACCAATGCCAAGGGCCAACTATCAGTAAAGATAGGGGACCCCTCCTCCTCCGCAAACACAGCAGCTGACCAGTTTATTAAGCATATCTGAGGCCTCCTTACCCACCATCATAAAATTAAGTTAGCTGCCCCATATGTCTAGATATCATCCATGAAGAGGAGCTAGAGAAAGTGAAGAGATCTAGAAGACAAAACACCCAAAAGTTACCTAAAGCAATGGGATCTAAAATTAAGACTCCATTCATTACATTTATATCTAAGTTTCTCCTACCCTACTGCTTCAGCACCACCACCACCAGCAGCTTTTGCTCTGTTACAATGTGTAAAATTTTGTCCCAAAAACAGGAGGAAAAAAAATCAGTGAATTTCTAGATTTTGGTTGAGCCTATGTGAAGTTTGAGACCAAAAATTTAGCCATCAGTCAGCCTCCGTGTGTGAATTTTTTCCCCAAACAGCGTTCATGAAAAGGCGATGGTTGGGTTCAATCAGGGTTGAGCTTTTGCCAGTCAAATGTGAAGAAGGAAAAGAGGAGCAAGGAGGTTTAGGGCATTAGCAAGGGAGTAATAATAATGATGGACCATGACATTACGCTGAACAAGAAAGGAAATGAAGACGGGAGGAAACTGATGGATGGAATACACAGGGTCCCTGGACTGGAGGTCTCTATGACATTGAAGAATTGTTGCAGTGGGTGTACTAGAGCAATTGAGCTGGAAGAATAAGACATGGGCATCACAGCATGGGATACTTAAAGATTTCAAAGGTGGTGGTGTCACTCACAATGTTCTAATTATGTACAATTTACCAAGTACATTCACATACTTAATAGTATTTATTTAACTCTTCCTGACTACAGGGAAAAAGAAATTTAATAAAGTGAATTTTTAATAACAATTCAGGAAATTATTTAAAATTATTTAAAATATTTAAGAAGAAATTCTAAGTTGAAGCACACTAGGAAATTTAGAAACAACCATGTAAATAACAACACTTAAGTACTAATTACAAATCGACCTTTTCTTTTCATTAATACAGGTGTCCTAAGAAACTAAACCAAATTTTTATCAAATTACTTAGTTGGTTAATTATTGGGTTAGCTAGTTGAATTTATTCTACTACGTTACTTACATTTTAAAAAAATAACACTGCTTTTGTTTTTTCTATATTATCAATTTAGACATCTCCCCTGTAACTAAACCAAATTAGAAAAAAATTAGTCTAAATATCTAGATATAGAGATAACCAAATTGAATCATTACAAATTCCTTTCAATTAAACACAGTGATTAAACATTCTAATTTTTTCCCATCTGACTAGCAGAAGTCAATTCATCACAGAAATAGAGATTAAGCCACTCCTTCGGTTTGGCTTTAGTTTTCTCCACATCTCCACAGAATGCAAACATTTCGTATTCTTAAAAAGGAAGTATTCTGATAACATTTCTATATTTAAAATTTGAGATGTTCAGAAGCTGATCAACAGAATAATTCTATATATCCATCACTAAAAGTTAAAAAAAAACCCTCCATTTGGTTTAGTTAAAATCAACCCTTAATATTTACAAAATTAGTAGAAGAAATGTGTTCATATAATTCATGTTTAAAAATAATGTTTTAGTTTGAAATATGTAGTAAACTGATTAAAGTACCATCTTTTTAACCAATATTGTCTAAATCAAGGACCACAACGTTGAGTACAAAAGCCTGATCTGGCCTTCCCAATTATGCTAAGCCAGCATAGTACTCCAAAATTATTTGAATTTGAATACCTTTAGGCAGGGCAAGCCCCTCTGAAGTTCCCACAGTATTCGCTTTATGTTTTGAACCCAGTAGCTTTGTTCTCAGCCCATAAATGGTCTTTAATTTGTGACCTTTGGCCTATAGTACTCTGTTGTTTTGTATAGCATCTGTTTAAATTATATTGTTCTTATTTTCATTTGTAAAATATTAAGCAATTTTGGGTTTTTTTAATTTAAGCGGCCCTTTTTTATTTTAAAAGTGTCCAAAACACTTAATCTTTTCTAGCAACTGTTTGACCTGAGTTCCTTAAATAAACATGTTATTGCCAAAGGTTTGAGAAGACAAGATAATTCTCGAGTGTCTTCCAGTTTCAACCATAAAGAAGTTAACCCTTTTTTGCTAAGATTTGAAAAATATGTATATATATTATTTTCTTACATTCAAATTCCTTGAGGCATCATTCAAACTTCACATGAGGTTCAGAGTGTAGTAATTAGCAGTAGGCTGCTTACATTTGCCAATATATTTGTACAAACATATGTTGGCACTCAGTTCCATATCAGCTACACATCAAAGAAGGGCGCTGAGGAGGAAGTATTCCACCTCAGGGCTGGATTAGTGTCTCTGCCTGAAATAGGCCTCATTTAAGAGTATAGTTTGGGGGAAATTAAAGAACCTTCATGGTCTGGGTATTGGAGCGAATCCACTAACAAAAAGCTGTACTGAATATTTCTGCCATTTTTTTTCCAGCCTTGCTACTATAATCCTGGGGAAAGTTGTAATCTCTTTTATCTTCTGTTTGCCAGTCCGCAAAAGGGAAATCATATACTTTCTCAACCGTGTCACAGAAGATGGGCATGTCAGGAATCCTCATGCTAGGAAAGTTGGTGCTTCTTTCTGCTAACATCCTTTTTGAATAAAAGTATGCACAAGCCTTCATGTTGCCACGACCCACACCCACCACACCTCTCTGTGAAGATTAAAGCCCAGAGTCCCCAGTACAGTCAAAACAAGGACCAAAGACTAGGGAAAATCTCCCTAATTTTCTCAAGAAAGGCTACCTTTCTTTTTATTACTGTGAATGTCAATAGAATTACTACCTATGTGAGCCCATATATTTTACAAGAACACCAAAGAATTATAAAAATATTAGAGCTGACAATGTACAAAGTTCTGTTCATATTTCCCTCATACAATCTTCTACAGCAAACTTTTAAGGTAGTTATGATGATCCCCATTTTGCACATGAGGCAACGGGATGAAACACTAAGTCACTTACTCAAGCTCACACTACCAGTAAGTCACAAAACCAAAATGTTAACTGAACTCTGACTCCCAAACTAGGTCATTTAACTCTTCTACCATAGCTGAGTATTGAGGTAAAATCAGAAACTGATCGAGGAGGGACTGTCCATCAGAAACGTGCTAGAGTCAGATCATACCAGCTTGGAAAAGTCAACTGGTAAATGTTCAAAAATGCTGTAATAGTCATTATTAAAAATTGCATTATATAAATATATAATTGAATAAATCATATTAAGAACAAAGGTAGGAAATAATCAAAAATATTTTCATGGCAAATGGGACAACACAATTTCAAAAAGACCTTTGACGACAGGCTAACTCACACTCCCAAAAGATGCACTGCTCATCCAGAAACACTGGGAATGCAAATTTTAAAAGCCTACCATTTTAGTTATTTATTTCTGCTTAACAAATTACCCCAAAACTTAGTGAATTAAACTATAATCATTTTGTTATATCTCACATTTTGTTGAGTTAACAATTGCAACAGGAGTAGGCTGGACAATTTGTCTGCTCTGCGTGTTGTCAACTGAGGTGGCAGATGGGCTGGTCTGGATCATCCAAGATGGCTTCACCCATACATCTGGTGCCTTTGCAGATATGGCTAGAAGGCTAAGCTCAGCTGGGACTGTTGGCTGGAGCACTAACACATGCCTCTCCACAGCTGTCTCAAGGTAGTTGAAATTACACGTGTATCAAGGCTCCCAGAGAAAGTATTCTAAGAGGCAATAAGTGGAAGATCTTAAGGTGTAGCCCCCAAAACTGGTACAATTTCACTTCTGCCATATTGTAGCCACAGAGCCTGCCAAGATTTAAGGATAGGAACATAGACCCCACCATGTGATGAAAGAGTCAAATAATTGTTACCACCTTCAATCTATCACCAAACAAATTGTTATTGTTTCTTTTATCTACATAATATTTATGTTTTTTAAGATATTATTACTTAGAGATATGTGCTGAAATATTTATAGATGAAATAATATGATGTTTGGGATATAAGGGTAAGTGGATCCGGATATACAAGAAATAAGATTAACAAAAAGGTGATATTGTTGAAGCTGGATGACAGCTAAATTCCCCTATTTGTAAGTGTTTGCACTTCTCTATATTAAAAAAAAAATTCTTTAATATTTTTTAAAACTTACTCTGTTTTCTGTTTTGTTTTAATTTCAGCTTTTATTTTAGATAAGAGGGTAACTTGTATCTAAATCCTCGCAGGATTGTTACATGGGTATATTGTACCAGGTAGTGAACATAGTATTCAATAGGTAGTTTTGTTTTTGTTTTTTAAACAGGGTCTCACTGTGTCACCCAGGCTGGAGTATAGTGGCACAATCTTGGCTCACTGCACCCTTGATGGCTTGAGGATGGGCTCAAGCCATCCTCCCACCTCAGCCACTTAATTAGCTGGAACCATAGACATGTGCCACCATGCCTGGCTAATTCTCGTATTTTATGTAGAGACAGAGTTTCACGATGTTGCCCAAGCTGATTTCGAATGCTTAGACTCAAGTGACCTTCCCACCTTTGCCTCCCAAAGTGCTGGTATTACAGGCATAAGCCACCATGCCCAGCCTCCAATATGTAGTTTTTCAACACACATCTCCCTCCCTCCTCACTTTAGTAGTCCACAGTGTCTATTGTTCCTATGTTTATGTCCCTGTGTGCTCAATATTTAGCTCTCACTTATAAGTGAGAATATGCAGTATTCGGTTTTCTATTCCCACATTAATTTCTTTCGATTATGACCTCCAAGCTTTATCCATGTTGCTGCAAAGAACATGATGTTATTCTTTTTAATGCTGCAGAGTATTCCATGGTGTATATGTGTATATCACATTTTCTTTATCCAGTCCACCAATGATGGGCACCCAGGTTGATTCCATGTCTTTGCTATTGTGAATAGTGTGGCAATGAACATATGAATGCTTGTGTCTTTTGGTTATAATGATCTATTTATTTTCCTTTGGGTACTGGATCAAATGGTAGCTCTGTTTTAAGTTCTTTGAGAAATCTCCAAACTGCTTTCCACAGTGGCTGAACTAATTTATATTCCCACCAACAGTGTATAAAAGCCTTTTCTCTGCAGCCTCGCCAGCATCTATTGTTTTTGACTTTTTAGTAATAGCCATTCTGACTAGTGTGAGATGGTATCACATTGTGGTTTCGATTTGCATTTCTCTGATTAGTGATGTTGAGTATTTTTTCATGCTTGTTGGCTGCTTGTATGTCTTCTTTTAAGAAGTGTCTGTTCATGTCCTTTGCCCATTTTTTAATGGGTTGCTTTTTGCTTGCTAATTTAAGTTCTTGCAGTCTCTGGATAGTAGACCTTTGTCAGATGCATAGTTTATGAATATTTTCTCCCATTATCTAAGTTGTCTATTTACTCTATTGATGATTTCTTTTACTGTGCAAGTTTTTCAGTTTAATTAGGTCTCACTTGTCAAAAAAATAAGATTTAAAAAACCTATTTCAATGCCAACTAAACAAAAAGCATTAACATAATCGCATACACAAACACAAGGGAAGATTTAGAGAGAATGTAAAAACTAAGCTGTTTAAAAACTGATCTGAACAGGACTCTTTGAAGAAATGGCTGACTCTAGGACTTGGGTAGGAAATATATGAAATGAGCCAGGAGCATCTTTTAGTGCAAGAAAAAAGATAAGTGCTCAAAAAAAAAGGAAAACACAGTGGCAGGGGCAACTTTCAGGAGCCAAATGAAAGAGCTCCCAGTAGCCAAAGCTAGCATAATTTGTGCAATAAAATAAATAAAGTAGTATTAGATTATAACCCAAAGTGGAAAATCAATATCTGAGTCTGTACTGATATAAATAAATAAATGATTGAATAAGTAAATGGGGGAGAATAAACAAATCTCCCCTGCAGAAAAATTCTAATAATTTATGTAGATACTCCACCCTCCAGGAGGTGGAGAATAACTTCCCACTTCTTAAATGTGGGCTGTTTAAAATTACTTCCTTCCAAATAATACACCTCAGAAAGGAGGAAAAATGAGTTAGTGGAGTAAACTGACAAACACTACCTCAATTAGGTGATCAAGGTTAAACTCAACAGTGATAAGTCATGTTGATAGTACATATTCTTGATATAATGTGATGATAATGCACTTTACCTCTGTAGTCATCATATCCAAAACACATAACCCCCATCTAATCATAAGAAAAACATCGGTGTCTTATTTCATTTATGCTCCTATAACAGAATATCACAGACTGGGTAATTATAAAGAACAGAAATTTATTTTCTCAGAGTTCTGGAGGTGGGAAGTCCAAGATCAAGGTGCCAGCAGCTGTCAAGTGCCTTCTTAATACATCATCACATGGTGGAAGCCAGAAGGGCAGGGGAAAGCAAGAGAGAATGATGCCACCTCACATCCCCTTGTTATAACAGCATTAATCCATTCATGAGAATAGAGCCTTTGTGACATAAACACCTCCCTCCCCTTCGTGACATAAACACCTGCCACCTTCCAACGATGTTGCATTGGGGATTAAGTTTCCAACACATGAATTTCTGGAGGACACATTCAAGCCATAACAATCAGACAAACCCTAGTAGGGGAAAATTGTACAAAACACCTAACTGACACTCCTCAAAATTGTCAAGGTCATCATAAACAAGGAAAGTCTGAAAAACTGTCATAGCCAAGGAAAGTCAAAGGAGACAAGACAACTAGACCCAG
The DNA here is from genome assembly GCF_000001405.40 of Homo sapiens. Taxonomy (NCBI): domain Eukaryota; kingdom Metazoa; phylum Chordata; class Mammalia; order Primates; family Hominidae; genus Homo; species Homo sapiens. The sequence goes on along the minus strand of NC_000004.12, from coordinate 110,712,604 downwards.
TGGGGTATCCTCAATGGGATCCTGGAAACAAAACAATTAGTAATGTCTTAGTCCATTTGGGCCGCTATAACAATATAGACTGGTTAATTTATAAACAACAAAAATTTATCTCTCACAGTTCTGGAGGCTGGGAAGTCTAAGATCAAGATGCCAGCAGATTCAGTGTCACGTGAGGGCCTATCTTGTAAATGGTACCTTATATATGTCCTCATATGATAGAAGAAGTGAACAAGGTCTCTTAGGCCTCCTTTATAAAGGCACTAATGTCATTGACAAGGAGCTCTGCTCTCATGACCTAGTCGCCTCCCAAATGTCCCACATCTTAATACTAATACACTGGGAGTTAGATTTTAACACACGAATTTTAGTGGAACACCAGCAGTCAGACCATATCAGGTAAAAACGAAGAAAATCTGAATAAAGTATGAAGTTAATACTCATATATCAATACTCGTTCACTATTTGTAATAAATATACCATACTAATATAAGATGTTAGTAATAGGGGAAATAGGGTATAGGCTATATAGGAACTCTCTGTACTATCTTTGCAGTTTTTCTGTAAATCTAAACCTCTCCTAAAATTAAAAGTTCATTTTAAAAGTTATAAGCTGGTTCTGCAGCCTTGATGGAAATCTGACAAGTTCTACAGCTTTGAAGTAATTTCTCTAGTTCACACAGAAGAGACTTGGAAGAAGCAACAGAAACCTGCATTTCAGCCCACCTGAGACTACTGCCAAATCTAGTTATTAGATGAAAGAAGATAGCATCGAGAGAGACTCATCCCTGATTGAAAGAGCCAGCGTCTTTCCATACCTAATATACTTCCTTTTGTGGATGCATTTCTGCCCTACAGCACAAAGCAGTAAAAAAACCAAGATCTAATGTGCCTGAAAGACCGCAGAGGTGCTGTGGATAGGCTCAGTTACAAACCAACGAACATTCAGGAGACAGAAAGAAATTCATCCATTTTCCAAAAATGTTAAAAGGGAACGTAGTTTGGTGAAACTCAGAGAATCTGGATCAACATATTTCTTGGCATCCTGGAAAGAAATAAATCCTTTGCAAGTATAAATATTCATTATAAAGAGATCTTAACAATGCCACAAATCTTCTTAAGTAAGTCCACACTGTGGTTTGCTCAGTTCTAGGAGAAAACGTCTTGACCTTACAGCAGTCTTCAGACTCAGAACATTTAAAATGTCATTACCACAAGGTCAGCCCTTATTCTCATCCTTGCAATTGTGAAAAGGAAAGGCACTGGAAAACAAGGGCATTCTCACTTCTCAGGGTACCTTTAATAAGTATCTGTAGGCATCACTGCTGACCATCCTGTCATGGCATGTGGTTAAAATAAACCTGCCTCTGTTGCTGCAATTATTTTTGGCTACCGTTGAGGGGAGTTCCAACAGCAACTACAGTCATTCCTTCAGATGTCCAGGAGGAGTCAATATTTAAATCTAGAACCAGGCTCATATCTCAAGGACCACACCTCTCGAGGATGCTGTAACCACTCATACATCCTATTTGTGTGTGACAGTCACGGTGTCCCCTTGAGACCACTGCTCCAAATAACAATCATCTGCTGCAGAGGGAAGTTGGGACTCACCCACCGGCCTTTGGTACTGGGGTTTATACACCCACTAGAATTGGAGCTCACAAATTTCTCAGATTCTACAGCATCATACAACCCATCCTTAAACCCTTGTAATTTCTCCTAGTTTGATAAATTCCCTTAGGTAGACTAAACAGAAAACCTAATTTACATCTAGTATGTGAAAATTAAGTTAAATTTAAACTTCTTATAAAGTCAACCATCCATTGTTAATGTCAACGGGAAAGTGTAATAACAGATAATTCAAATGTCCTATATATATCATTACTATATAAATTTTGTGAAATAAGCATAAATTATCTTTCACTTAGACAATATTAAAATAAGTTTTTATTACCTAAGTGTACACCCAATGAATGGTGCAGAAACAGACCAGAAGAATCTTGGGGTGACTGAAAGATCATGATATCTCAGATTAAGCACCATATTTATTTTTCACTATGTGCAGAAAAGCCAAATCTTCCTTTGTGGGGACCAGCCCAGAGTAATTCTGACTCATCAAAAATGGCTAGGCAGTCACAGGATGGATAGCTTATCATCCTTATAAAATAAATAACTAAAAGACAATCACAACCATAAAATCCAAGCAAAGTTTTATTACCTAAATTCAATTTGCTGTAGTTTAATTAAGTTGCATCAGCCAGCACTGTATTTAAGGTCTGCAGGCTTTAACAACTTTAGAGACTAGTCCAGTGACCAAAGAAACTCTCATTACAAAATGGCATTTAACTGGGGGCCCTCGCGAGGCACTCAAGAATATATTGTCCCAGAAGTGACTCACTAAGACAGACATGAAATGAAATCTAAAGAAATGGTCTCTCAAAGGCATGATGCAACAGGAACAAGAATAAAACCTGGCAGACATAGGTACATAAGATTGATTGTAGATAATCTCCATTTACCACTTTGATGGAATCTTAATTATACTTTATTTACTAAAGAGGGGATAGATTGAGTATAAAACATAGAGATGTATCTAGATGACATTTTTAAAGTATTTGTTTTAGAACAACACAGAAAGTGGGCATCTACCTGCCAATTAATTAAATCAGTAAAAGAAATTTTATTAAACAAAATGAATGACTTTTCTTAAATGTGAACTTTTACATGGATGATAATTTTTAACTGATCTTGCAAAAATGTTTGTAGCATTTAAGGGAAAAAATATTTTTATAAAGCTTTCAGCCTTACCAAGAAAATTGTTGCATGCACATTTACATTTCCTGTCTATAGCAACAACTTCAGTTATTTGGGCCAGGTGGTTTTGTGTGTGGAGAATTATACCAATTATCTAACTTTTTCTCTGCTTTTGAGCATTTCATTTATATAGTTCACACTCCAAAGCAGTCATGGAATGATACAGAAAATAGAATTCATATTAATATTTTTGGACTCCTAAACTATACATGCCACTACCCAAACTCTAAAAATGGTCCCAGATTACTTTAGAAATAAGGAAAAAACTTTTATCAGTCCCTGTTATATTTCCATTGTAAGATTCTGTATTAGGTAATTCTGGCATTGCTATAACGTACCTGAGACAGGGTAATTTATAAGAAAAGAGGTTTAATTGGCTCACTGTTCTGCAGGCTGTACAGGAAACATGGTACTGGCATCTGCTTCTGGGAAGGCCCCAGGAAGCTTGCAATCATGGCAGAAGGTGAAGGGAGAGCAGACGTCTCTCATGGTGAGAGTGGAGCAAGGGTAACAGGGAGGTGCCACACACTTTTACACAACCAGATCTTGTGAGAACTCACTCACCACAGCAAGGACAACACCAAGCCATGAGGGATCCTCCTCCATGACCCAAACACCTCCCACCAGACCCCACCTCCAATGCTTCAACACGAGATTTGGGCAGGGACAAATATTCAAACTGTATCAGGTACCTAATGTTTACAACTATGCTTAAAGTATTTAAAATAATTTATCTAATTCTTGGCTTCCATTTTTATAATTTTATAAGTGCATACAAAGTTCGCATTTTAAATATATCCAATGATACTATTTTTCAGTGCAAAATTTACATACTTCGGTAATTTTGCATAGCTTATATGTTTCATGACTGTCCCTTATTGGTGTTGGAAGCTAGAAGAAATGAAGCGATAATTTTATTTTCAAAAAGTGATAACTTTTAGCAAGGCTTGTCTTATCCTTAGGTATTAAGACTCTAGAATCTATGTTCTGATATGCCAAAAATATTCTTGAAATCGTTTTTTCCATAAGGAACTAAAATAGGAAACTCTTTAATGTATAGGACGAATATCTAATGCATGCATGCGCGGTTTAAAACCTAGATGATAGGTTGATAGGTGCAGCAAACCACATGGCACATGTATACCTATGTAACAAACTTGCATGTTCGGCACATGTATCCCAGAACTTAAAGTAAAATTAAAAGAAAAATAAAGAAACTCCTTAATACCAGTAATGTGGATATGACATCACTGGGGATAGAAAACAAGAGAGGATGGAAAAGCGTAGGAAGAAACAGAAAAAGGCTGGGATGAGAAAGAAAAGTGGATCTCAAAACAAATTGTCCTGCTTCACATTTCTTTACAGGTCTGGGCCTGTCCTTAAACAAGTGTTCAGATAATAATGCTGAGCAATGCAAGTTCTTATTTTGCCATCTCCACTCTACATTCTGAAGTCATTTAATTCTTCCTTATTTTTACAACACACCATTCTTCATTTTCCCATCCCATAACCCTCTGCCACTTGAGTCTCAGATCTGCCTATGAACAAAAATATAGACCATACGACACTTGAAAAAGGTTTCTCCCAAGCCTTAACCTGCCTTCAACCCATGACATTTACTGGCCTTTAGAAAGTGGTGGTATCATGTGATCATAACTGACAGTAAATAATCTGAGAACCACACCAAAGATCTGAATCATGGGAATTGTGCACTTTTGGTTTTAGACTTCAATCAAAAGCCATCAACAATTTTCAATTAAAAAATTGCATCTAAGGTTGTCAACATATGTGCCAAGTTTTAATTGAGGGTAATTGGGAATGGTTAGGCTATAAAACGATTGAATAGCTACTTGGTAAATGGAAACACTGACAGATTTTTAGCTCATAAAACTCTCCCTCAGATCAAGACAGCTGAGTTGAAGAAATAATCACCAGAAGGCCCAAGCAGGTAGACTGTGGTACCTTCTTCTTCAGTGCTTCCCCCATCACACAAAGATGCTGCACAAGAAAGGTTGTTCTGAAGCATTTGCAGGCTGAAGTCAGCCAGATGCAGGCTGGAAGGGAAGGAACAGGAACCTGTACAAAGAAGGCTGGGCACCCAGGGTCCTAGAGAGTAGTAAGAGAGGGTAGAGGGAAAGAAAAAGCCACTGTCTCCAGCTCAGATGACCTGGGTTTCAGGTATGGTTGACTACTAGTTATCTATGGATCCTTGGACAAAATGTTAGTTGGATTGTACTACTGAACCCCCAAACTATTCATTTCCCCCTTGGAAGCTGTATGCTCCCAGCCTAATGAGGTGATTTTTTTTTTAATGTGCCTCACCCGTGTACTGAGGTTATAACAAAACTCCGTGTATAAAAATTTTTTCCTAGCCTACACACACTCATTTATAAAACTCTGGTTCAGATAACTGGATGTCTAGCCTTTCAATTACTTTGGGAGAAGTTTTCATGAATAAAGACTATAAAACTTACATTGCAAAATTTCACTTCACAGATGAAATCTATCACAACAAATCTATCCTCTTGAAAAGCTTCCAGCAAAGGTCACTAATAGACCATTAGCCTTTTCTAAATTGTGGAGTGATTAGAATCGTATTTTTAAAATAATCCAAACGTGATTGTTGAGAAACACCTTTGTTTCTTCTTAGCCCTTAGCACTAATTTTCCCACGTAATTTGTTATTTTAGAAACCTAAGAGACTGTATTTAAACAGTTGTATGACAATTTTTAAAAATTGCTTAATTAAGTGAGTAGGATATTTTTTCCTTGGGAAAAACCCTCAGTCCATATCTAGATCTTGTTTTAAACCTTGGTATTTTAAGGATTCTTTCAAGGCGTTTGAAGTATTCTTAATAGTTATTCGATTACTGTAAAACCCAATTTCTATTCTTCTAATCTCTATAATCAAATCTTTACTTTCATGATTTGCTATTAAGCCTGTATTTTAGGATTATAAAACTAGATATTCATCTTCTGTGACTTGTTACTATCAAGTTGAAGGTGGCAAGGATTTCACACATACAGAGTGGGTATGCTTATTGGGCACACAGTCAGAAATAAAATGTGTGCCAATGTCTTATCCTGTTTTCTGTTACTATAGCACAGTATCACAGACTGGCTAAGTTATGACAAAAAGACATTTAATTCTTACAATTCTTACAATTCTGGAAGTCCAAAGTCAAGAAGCTGCACCTGGTGAGGGCCTTCTTACTGCATCATAACATGACAGAAGGCATCACAGGACAAAAAGGCAAGAGCACACCAGCTCAGGTCTCTCTTTCTCTTCTTATAAAGCCACCAGTGACATGATGGAGGCCCTATCCTCATGCCCTTATCTAATTCTAATTATCTCCCAAAGGCCCTACCTCCAAATACCATCAACATATATATTTGGGGATTAAGTATTCAACACCTAAAATTTGGAAGACACATTCAAACCGAAGCACAAGGTTTCTATATTATTACTGGGAAAACACTTATGAAGAGATAAACACATGGCAGATAACCTATTCAATACATAGGGAAAATGTACACCCTTAAGCATGCAGATGCATTGAGCAATAAAATGTATGGTACATACTATCTAAGAATTATGGGTCGATCTAATTCTATCCAACATCAGTAGGATCTATCTTGAATACTATTATGAGAGTAGGAGACACAGCACAAAGGGAAGCTTAAACAATAAAATACAGATTCAGAGGATAAAAATAATAATAACAGTTGCACAATATGATTACACTTAATGCATTGAACTGTACATGTAAAATGGTTGGGATGGTAAATTTTATGTTATATACGTTTGACCATAATAAAATAAAAATTAATAATAGTAGTAATAATAATAATGACAAATATATATGTGCTTCATGTGCCAGGTGCTTTATGTGCATTATCGTTTAGTCTTCAAAGTAGCTCTTTGAGGAAGTATTAATATTACCCTCTTCTAAAGGATTTGGAAATCTAAGGACCACAAAAATAAAGCAACTTTTCCAAGAGTTAATAAAGTAACTTCTTCAATAGATTCTTACAGAACTAGTAAATTATAAAGGTCTATGTATTAGTCTGTTTTCATATTACTATAAAGATACTACCTAAGACTGAGTAATTTATAAAGAGAAGCGGTTTGATTGACTCACAGTTCCACATGGCTGGAGAGACCTCAGGAAACTTACAATCATGCCCAAAGAAGAAGAGGAAGCAAGGTACGTCTTATACGGTGGCAGGAGACAGCAAGTGAGCACAGGGGAAAGTGCCACTTTTAAAACCATCAGATCTGGTGAGAACTCCCTCACTATGAGGAGAACAGTGTTGGGGAAACCGCCTCCATGATCCAATCACCTCCCACCATGTCCCTCCCTCAACACCTGGGGATTACAATTCAGATTATAATTCGAAATGAGATTTAGGTGAGGACATAGGCAAACCGTATCAGTCTGACTGAACCCAGATGTTCTGATTTTAGAGTCTGTGGTTGTTTAACCGTGTATAATGACTTCCACAGGTGTTCGTGAAAGTACTTATAAGGAAAAGAAGCCATGCTGAAAAGTAAAACTATCTCAAAGTTGTAGCCAAAAAGACAGTTGAGAACACCAATAATGTGGTGGGGAGAGAAAATGGTCAGTATATGATTGTTTATTTATTCATCTAGGCAATAAGTAATTAGATGTCTACTAGGTGCACTGAGGACAATACGTGAATAAGACAGACAAGGCTTTTGCATTCATGGAGCTTACATTCTAGTAGAGTAGCGAGAACAAAAGAAAGTGAACAAATTAATAAAGTATTTTTGACTTGCAGGAAGTGCTATGAGGAAGTGAAACACTGGTGGCAAGAAAGTGAGTGTCAGAGGTGGGGGCTGCATTAGCCCAGGGCAGAGTTTCCCAATCTTGGCACTGCTGACTTTTTGGGCTGGATAATTCTCTGTTGTGGGGGTTGCTGTGTGCATTGTAGGATGTTTAGCAGCATCCCCAACCCATTTACCCATTAGACCCAGTAGCAAAACCTCTCCTTCCCAGGTGCGACAAACAAAACTGTCTCCAGATATTTCCCAATGTCCTTTGAGGGACAAAATTACCACCAGTTGGGAACTACTGGCTTCAAGGGTTATGGGAGTCTTCTCTGAAGAGGTGACATCTGATCTGAGGCAAAGTGATATGAAAGGGCCAGCCATGAAGGATTTGGGGGTAGAAGCTAGGGGATGGATAAGGGCAAACACCCTAACATGGCAAAAGGCTTTGTGTATTGGCTGGGGTGGCTGAAGCCTCCTGAGCTGTGGTGAGAGTGGTAGGAGGGAGTATCAAAGAGGTAGACAACTTCAGATCATGAGAGTCCTCTAGACAATTGAGTCATTTTAAGCATTTTAGTTTATCAGGAAAAAATGGTGGCAAGGGTAATTTTTTTAACTCTAGGTCATTAAAGTCTTTCTTTTATCTTTGAAATTTTTAAAACAGGTTAGAATTTAACACAACTAACACCTCTCTGGGAGAAAACTATTGATGTCTTTATATTCTGTAGAATTAGTCATTCCTTCATTCGCTAAGCAAATATTTATTGAGTGCCCAGTACGCCCCAGACACTGTTTTAGGCATTTGGAGCAAGACTGAAAAAAAGAAAGATCCTACCCTCTTGGAGCTTATGTCGAATTAGAAGAGATAGATAAATATAAAACATAATGAAAATTATTTGTATAATATGGTAGAAGACAACTGCTATGCACCAAAAATTATAAAGCAGGATGAAAAGGACAGAAATTATGGTGGAGATACATAATACAATATGTGACAATAAGTCTAGAAGAAGAAAAATATAATCAATACACCATGTTCTTAGGCAGTTAAACATTTCTAGAACTTTCCATTTATTCTTTTATTTTCATTCTATTTAGTCCACAATCAAATACTTTGTCTTATTTTCTCATAAATGGATCTTGTGAACTGACTGGAAGATACCTGAGAAAGTAAACAAGACCCAATTGTGTGCAGGTGGTGAAGCTTAGGGCACCCCAGAAGGAGTGTCAAGTTGTCTGAAAATCAACAATGAATAGGTGACTCCCTTTAAGTCATTATTTTGGTGGGAACCCAAATGTATGACTGTATGACCATTGGTGTCAATTCATGTCAGGATTAATGAGAAGCATCCAAAAATCTACCAACAAATCACTCATAAGAGTAATCTGTAAATATATGTATTTCATCTCAGGCCAAGCATAATTTTCTCTAATGTTTTATTGCTTTTAAGTAAATTGAGTTAACACTTTTAAAACTTCGCAATTGTGGGTGTAATCATAATAAATAAATACTTCACCTGGGCTCAGTGGCTCATACCTGGAATCTCAGCACTCTGAAGGGCCAAGGCGGGTGGATCACTTGAGGCCAGGAGTTCAAGACCAGCCTGGCCAACATGGCGAAACCCCATCTCTACTAAAAATACAAATTATCTGGGTGTAGTGGCACATGCCCATTGTCTCAGCTATTCAGGAGGCTGAGGCAGGAGACTTGCTTGAACCCGGGAGGCAGAGGTTGCAGTGAGCCAAGATCGTACCACTGTACTCCAGCCTGGGCGACAGAGCAAGACTCCATCTCAAAAATAAATAAATAAATTTAAAAATAAATACTTTGTACAACTGACTTTTATTCAATGACATTTCAAATAAGATAATTGAAACAAATTAAAATTCTTCTGTCAAGACAATATATACAGCTATTATGTACTCAAAATTTTTTTAATAATAAAATAAAAACAAATCTTTTTTTTTTTTTTTTTTTTTGAGACAGAGTCTCACTCTGTCGCCCGGGCTGGAGTGCAGTAGTGTGATCTCGGCTCACTGCAACCTCTCCCTCCCAGGTTCAAGCAATTCTCCTGTCTCAGCCTCCCGGGTATCTGGAACTACAGGCACATGCCACCACACCTGGCTAATTTTTGTATTTTTGGTAGAGATAGGGTTTCACCTTATTGGTCAGGCTGTTCTCGAACTCCTGACCTCAGGTGATCCACCCGCCTCGGCCTCCCAAAATGCTGGGATTACAGGCATGAGCCACCTCGCCCAGTCACAAATAGATTTTTTTTAAAGACTAAGATACATGTATTAGTGTCCTATGGTCACTGTAAGAAATTTCTACAGACATGGTGGCTTAACACAGTGGAAATTTATTATCTCACAGTTCTGGAAGCCAGAAGTCTGAATCTGCTTCACTGGGCCAAAATCAGCGTGTCAGCAGGGCCGTACATTCTCTGGAGCCTCCAGTGGAGAATCTGCTCCTTGCCTGTCTTCCTGCTCCAGGTGGCTGCCGGCATTCCTGTGGAGTACTGCATCATTCCAGTACCTACCTTATCTTCATATCCACCTTCCGCTCTGTGTGTCTAATTTCCCTCTGCTCTTCTCACGAAGGTATTTGTGATCGCATTCAGGGCTCATCCAGATAATCTAGGATAATCTCTCCATCTCAAAATCCTTAAGTAATCAATCACACCTGCAAAAACCCTTTTCCAAAAAGGTAACATTTACAGGTTCCAGGGACTGGGACATAAATGTCTTTTGGAAAGCCATTTTTCAGCCTACCACAAGGAACAATGTTTTCTTACATAATGGGAAATGGGGAACTAAATTCAAGCATTTGGGAAAAATCCCTGTTCTCATATAAGCATTTCAGTTCATCAGCAAACAGACAGCGAAGTGTTGATCTGAATTCCAAGTATTTCCTATCCTATTAAAATGAATTGGAAGTGTTAAGTAAAAGTAAATGACAGTATATCACATCCTTCCTGATTTTCACCCTAATTAACATGAAAAGAAGCCACTCTAGGTTTCAGATCTTTTTAATTTAAAGAAAAACATTACTACAACAAAATTATTTTATTACCAAAAGGATGTGCTTTTCATTTTAGTGGTCGTAGAATTGGATATCAATTCCAAACTGTCAATACAAACTCAAACTAAAAACTAGACTTAGGAATCTCCATTTTTTTATATTAGTATTTTATGTTTGTTGAGAAAGCTGGCTCCTAGGCCACACTCACATACTAAAAATCATATGACATGGAGTTCTGCTCCTCTTAGGATTGAAAACATCACAAGAGAACATCACTCCTACCCTTACAGCAAGGAAAAAGGCAGATAATCTACAAAAATATCACTCTTCTTAAGCCCATCAGAGCTAAAATCACAGAGTTACAAAATAAATCAGGCAAACTAAAACTAAATTCCAAAGAGCAATAAACCCTTCTGAAAATAAATGGGATAATGAACTGTTCCATCTTTGGAAGAGTAAGGAAGAATCTGCCAACGTAAAAGTGGATAAGAAGAAAACTGCAACACTTTTTTACAAAAGCCAAGTGTGTGCTAGGACAATTCAGACTGCTTGGCAGATCAAACCCGTGGGGAATCCACATGCATTCTTCAGTTGTTTTCCATGATTCTCTACTCGTTGCTCACAAGAAAGACTGGAACATGACAAGAGATCTGAGGCAGCCCTCTCTTCCCCCTTGGTGAACCATAGGGTTGAAACTGTATCTGCATTTCTGATCCTGCTCTCAAATAAAGCAAAAGCCTTTGCCTCTGAGAGAGAAGCAGAAAAGTCTCCTACCCAGGCAAAGATCCACTGCTTCTGGGAGATGGTAGACACAAAAGCTGTCTGAGTGAGAGGCTGTTAGGAGAGTATAGAAAACTGTACACCTCCACTCCCAGGCAAAGCCATCAGCTACTGAGAGAGAACTAGTAGCAAAATCCATTGGCCCATTGGGGTAGGCAGACAACAGGAAATCTATTCAACTGTACTAATAGAAGGCAGAGACCTTCTACTACTGAGGAAGAACAAAGACTGTCTCTCCTATTCAAGACCTTTGACAGATGCAAGGTAAGATATGGCTACTATGTCAGGGAAAGGCAGGAGTGGTGATAAAGCCCTCATCACAGAGGACCAAGAATATAGGGCCTAACTAAGACTGAGGCTGAGACCAGGGAACAAAGAAAATCTCCACTTTCCCTACCATAAGCTTTGTACCTAGCAATATGCAACTGAGAGAGGGGCAAGAGCATAAAGAACCCCCGTTTATGCATAGATATTTAGGGTCTGCTGAAAGCTGAGAGTGAAGCAAGAACACAGAAAAACCTTCCTGCACTTTAGGTCCCAAAGTAAGCACAAGGTAGCAGCCACCCAGAGCTAGAAGAATCTGCAGCCTGTAGTGCACAAAGGTAATGTTAGCAACAAAAAGCCCAGCTCAGCTACTAACCAGATTGGCTCAACTTCCCTACATTAACAGCCTGAAAAAAGAGGAGACCATTTCTAGGAGTTAATTCTACTTACTTCAGACTCTACTGGTCTAAAAAAAAAAAAAAAAAAAAGCTTCACAGTCAACAAAAAAATTACCAGACAAAAAAGTAATTGTTAGATGTTAGCAGAAGGAATGGAATAATGAAGACTGGAGCAGAAATAAATGTAATAGAGACTAGAAAAGCAATAAAAAAGATCAATGAAACTGAGTTGGGTTTTTTTGAAAAGATAAACAAAATCAACAAATCTTTAGCTAGACTAACCAAGAAAAAAAGAGAAAAGACTCAAATAAACAAAATCAGAAATGAAAGAAGAGACATTACAACTGACATCATGGAAATGAAGGGATCATAAGAAACTATTATGAACAATTATGTGCCAAAAAATTAGATTATCTAGAAGAAATGAATACATTTCTAGACACATGCAACTTATCAAGGCCGAATCACAAAGAAATATAAAAATCCAAACAGACCAATAACAAGAGAAGATTGAAGCTGTAATATAAAGTCTTCCATCAAAAAAAACAGCTCAGGACCTGATGGCTTCACTGCTGAATTCTATCAAACATTTAAAGACCTAATACCAATTCTCCACAAATTGTTCCAAAAAATCAGAGCAGAGGAAATACTTCCAAACTCCTTTTACAAGACCAACATTATCCTGACACCAAAGCCAGAAAAGGACATCACAAGAAAAGAAAACTACAGGCCAAGATCCTTGATAAATCTAGATGCAAAAGCTGTCACCAAAACACTAGCAAACTGAATTCAACAACACATTAAAAGAATTATTCACTACAATCAATTGGGACTAATTCCTAGGATGCAAAGATGGCTTAACACACACAAATTTATAAATGTAATATGTCACATTAATAGGATGAAGGATAAAAATCATATGATTATCTCACTAGATACAGGAAAAGCATTTGACAAAATTTAATATCTTTTTATGATTAAAAAAACTCTCAAAAAATTAGATATGGAAGAAATGTACCTCAATACAATAAAGGTCATATATGACAAGTTCATAGCTAACATCATATTCAATGGAGAAAAGTTGAAAACTGTTTCTCTAAGACCTGGAACAAGACAAAGATGCCCATTTCTACCACTTCTACTCAATATAGTACTGGAGTTCCCAGCCAGGGCAATAAGGCAGGGAAATAAAAACGGAAGAGATAAATTGTCCCTATTTTCAGACCATGTTATCTTATATATTAAAAAAAAACCTAAAGATTCTATAAAAAAGAAAAAATACTTAGAACTGATAAATTCAGTAAAGTTGCAGGATACAAAATCAAGACACAAAAATCAGTAGTGTTTCTCTACACTAACAATGAAGTTTCTGAAAAAGAAATCAGGAGAACCGTCTTATTTACAATCGCTACAAAAAAAAATGTACTTAGGAATAAATTTAACCTAAGAAGTGAAAGACCTGTCACTAAAAACTATAAAACATTAATGAAAGAAATTCAAGAAAACATAAATAAATAAAAATATCTCTCATGTTCATGAATTGGAAGGATTAATATTGTTAAAATGTCCATACTGCCCAAAGTGACCTACAGGTTCAAAGCAAACTCTATCAAAATTTTAATGTCACTTCTCACAGATGTAGAAAAAGTTTTTAAAATTCTTATGAAACCTCTCAAAAAAATTACAAATAACTAAGTCAATTATTTGCAAAAAGAAAATAGTTGGAGGCATTACACTATTAGATTTCAAACTATACTACAAATCAATAGTAACTAAAACAGCATGGTACTGGCATAAAAATAGACATAGCAGCCAATGGGACACTATACAGAATCCAGAAAAGAACACATTCATCTGTGGTCTCTTGATTTTCAACAAAGGTGCCAAGAATATCCAATTGGAACAACAAATGGTGTTGGGAAAACTGGGTGTCTATAGGGAAAAGAATGAAATTGGACCCTTATTTTACACCACATAGAAAAACTAACTCAAAATAGATTAAAGACATAAATGTAAGATCTAAAACTGTAAAACTACTAGAAAAAAAAACACAGGGGAGAAACTACACAACATTGGTCTAGGCGATTATTTTTTAGGTTTGACCCCAAAGGTTAGGCAACAAAAGCAAAGATAGACAAATGCGATTACATTAAAATAAAAAGCACATCAAAGGAAACAATTAACAGAGTGAAGAGACAACCTATGGATTGGGAGAAAATATCTGCAAGCCATACATCTAATAATGGATCAATATATAAAATATATAAGAAACTCAAACAACCCTCTAAAAAGAAAACAAATTACCCAATTAAGAAATGGGCAAAGGATCTAAATAGACATTTCTCAAAAGAAGACATACAAATGACTTCAGATATATGAAAAAATGCTCAACATCACTAATCATTAAAGAGATGCAAATTAAAACCACAATGAGATAGCACCTCACAACTGTTAGAATGGCTACTATGAAAGCAACAAAAGACAGGTGTTAGCAAGGATTTGGAGGAAAGGGAATCCTTGTACACTGTTGGTGGGAATGCAAATTAGTACAAACATGGAACATGGTATGGAGGTTCCTCAAAAAACTAAAAATAGAATTACCACATCATTTAGTAATACAATTTCTGATACCCGAAAGATTTAAAAATCAGTGTGTTGAAGAGATGCCTGCCTGTATCCCCATGTTCATTGCAGCACTATTCACAATAGCCAAATTATGGAATCAACCTAAGTGTCCATAAAGGAATAAATGGATAAAGAAAGTGTGGTATATATACAAAATGAAATACTATTCAACCTTTAAAAAGAAAGAAATTCTGTTGTTTGGAACAACATGGGTAGAATTAGAGAATATTATGCTAAGTGAAATAAGCCAAACATTGAAAGATAAATACTGCATGTTCTCACTTATATGTGAAATCTAAAACAACTGAACTCATAGAAGCAGAGGGTAGAATGGTGGTTACCAGAGGCAGGGGGTTGGGGGGAATCAGGAGATGATAGTCAAAGACACAAATCCGGAGATGATAGTCAAAGGATACAAAGTCTCAGTTAGATAAGAGGAATGAGTTTAATTTTTTTTAGATCAATAGTACCGCATGCTGAATATAGCTAATAATTAAATATTGTACCTTTCCGTATCACTAAGAGAATAAATTCCTAATGTTCTCATGACAAAAGAAGTTAAATATTTGAAGTAATAGATATGTTAATTAGCTTAGTTTAATCATTCCACATTGTATTCAAAAGTCATAAGACCATTTATATAAATATATACAACTATAATTTGTCAATATACAATTTAAAAAATAATACAATCTACTTTGCACAAAATGAAAAGAAAAACAACCAAAAAAAAAACCTTTGTCGAGATTAGACAACAGAACCAGATCCAGAGATGATTCAGCTATTAGAACGATCAGACAAGGACATTTTTGAGATCATAATTAATATGTTAAAGGATCAAGAGGAAAAAATGGGAAACATGCCTCAATAAATTAGGATTTTCAGCACAGAGATTGAAACTATAAAGAAGAGCCAAATGCAAATTATAGAAATTAAAAACACAATATCGAAGATGGAAATTCATTTGTCAGTTTTATCAGCAAACACAACAGAGTAAAGAATTAAAGATAGGTAAATAGTAACTATCCAAAGTGAAACATGAATAGAAAATACAGTTTTTGTTTTTTTTAACTCAGAAGGCTTGGGTCAATCTCAGAGAGTTTAATTGTATAAGTAGATTCCTAAAAAGAGAAGAAAAAACATGACAGGAAAAAAAGTATTTTAAAAATATACATTTCAGACCGGGCACATTGGCTCACACCTGTAATCCCAGCACTTTGGGAGGCTGAGGTGGGCCAATCTCTTGAGGTCAGGAGTTCAAGACCAGCCTGGCCAAAATGGTGAAACACCATCTGTACTAACATACAAAAATTAGCCGGGCGTGGTGGTCGGCACCTGAATCTCAGCTACTGGGGAGGCTGAGGCAGGAAAATCACTTGGGCCCAGGAGGTGGAGTTTGCAGTGAGCCGAGATTGCCCCACTAAACCCCAGCCTGGGCAACAGAGCAAGACTCCTTCTCAAAAAAAAAAGAAAAACTATATATATATAGTTTTTATATATATATATATAGTATTTTAAATGTATATATAAAATATTTTGAATGTATATATACACACATATATTTAAAATGTATATGTAAATACACACATACATTTAAAATGTATATGTAAATATATATACACACACATTTTCATATATATATTTATGTATTTATAAATGTATATATATACACACACATTTCTAAACTGACAAAAGATAACAAAAAACATAATGCATAATGCAAGATACTTGGGGAACCCAAACAGGATTAACAAAATTTAAAAAACAAATGAAGAAGAAGCATCAGAGTTAACTTGCTAAAAACTAAAAACAGAGAGAAAAATCTTGAAAGTAGCTGGAAAAAAAAACTACATACAGAAAAACAAATAAAGAATTATCACAGATTTCTTATTAGAAACTATAAGCAAACCAGAAGACAATGGAGTACCATCTTTAAAGTACAGAAAAGTGAAAAACTGTAAATTAAGAATCTATATATCCAATGAAACTATTTCTTTGAAATAAAGAATTTTTTCCAGACAAACAAAAGCAGAGAGAATTTATTGCCAAAATGCCTGTACCACAAGAAATATTAAATGAAGTTCTTCAAGCAGAAAGGATATGGTCAAACCAGATGGGAATTTGGATCTACACAAAGAAATTGAGAGAATCAAAACAGGAGAATTAGGGTAAATATTTAAAATTTTTAATTATTTAATTTTTTATAGTTATTTAAATTATTTAAAAATAACGAAAGCAAAAGCAGTAGCAATGTATTGTAGGATGTATAACCTGAGTAGAAGTAAAATTTATGACAATAGCACAAAGAATTGGAGGGAGGAAATAAAAGTGTACTATTTTAAGGTTCTTAGACTGCATATGAAGTAGAACAATACTATTTAAAGGTGCACTCTGATTGGAAAGATATGTATATAGCTAATAGTTGTGTTAAAATGAAATCATAAACATATGCAATACAAATGAAAAGAGAAAAAAAGAAACAGAACAAATAGAAGCAGAAAAGAAACAGAAAAAGAGCAAACTGTTGTATCTGTGTACAATCATGTCAATAATTGTATTAAATTCAAGTGGTCTACACACAAA
Organism: Homo sapiens; assembly: GCF_000001405.40. NCBI lineage: Eukaryota > Metazoa > Chordata > Mammalia > Primates > Hominidae > Homo > Homo sapiens. The sequence goes on along the minus strand of NC_000004.12, from coordinate 110,695,330 downwards.
AATCAGAGATTATCATACTAAAATTTGGATTTTAAGAAGCAAGACCAAAATAAAAGCAGCCTGAAAGAACCACACTTATTAAAAGTAAAAGGATGGGAAAAGCTATGCAAATACTAATCAAGAGAATACCAGAGTGATTTTATAATAAAGACAATGTAGATTTCAGTACAAGAAATATTACCAAGATAAAGAGGACCATTCAATAATGCTAAAGGAATAAAATTAATCAAGAAGACATAACAATACTAAATATGTAGGTACCTAATAATGGAACTTTAAAACACACAGGCGAAAACTGGTAGGCATGAAAGAAGAAATAGAAAAATCCACAAGTGTGGTTAGAGAGTTCAAAAAAACCTGTCAGTAAGTAAGAGAATAAGTAAATGAAAATGCGTAAGAATATAAAAGATGTGACCAACACTGCCAGCCAACCCCACCCAACAACAGTAGAACACACATTTTTAAACTACAATTTATTAGACTCTGGGCCATAAAACAAATCTTAACAATGTAAGGGAGTTGAAATCACACAAAATATGGCCTCTGACACAAGGAAATTAAACAGAAATGAATATCCGAAAAATTCCTTGAAAACCTCCAATACTTGGAAATTAACAAATTTCTAAATTAAATATAAGTCAAAAAGTCACAAAGAAGACCAGTATTTTGAACCAAATGAAACTAAAAACTAAACCTAAACAAAAATTGTAGTACACAGCTAAAGCAGGGCTTCGGGGGATTTCTATGGCATTAAGTAACTGTATTAGAAAATAAGAGACACATATAGGATCTAAGCTTCCTCCTTAAGAAAACAGAAAGAGAAGAAATTACACCAAAGTAAGCAGGAGGAAGAGATAATAAAGAAATAAGTAGAAAGCAATAAATAGAAAACAGAAAAAAAATAGCAAAAAATCAACCCAGCTCAAAGCTAATGCTTTTAAATGATAATAAAATGGATAACCTCTAGCCAATCTGATCAAGAAAAAGAAAAGAAAGACATTATCTAACTTTTATTTTTTAATAAATTTTTAAAAGTTGAACTCATAGAGTAGAGAGTAGAATGATGTTTACCAGAGGAGGGGGGTGGGAGGATGGGGTTGGGCTGATGTTGGTCAAAGGATACAAAAGCAGAAGGAAGAAGTTTAAGAGATTTATTGTATATATAGTTAATAACAATACACTATATTCTTGAGAATTGCCAAGAGAGTAGATTTTAAGTGTTTCCACCACAAAAAAAAAAAAAAAAGAGTATATGAGGTAATGGTATGTTAAGTAACTTGTTTTAGCCATTTCATAATGTATACATATTTCAAAACACCATGTTGTATGCAATAAATATATAAATTTTGTCAATAAAAAATAACTTTTTTAAAAGGTTTTTTAAAGCAAACTTGCTTTTATGTTTTCATCTGAATTATACCCAAACCAGGTATCTTAAGTTTAGAAGTTAATCAATATTTTTCCTTCTTAAAAAAAAAATTGGCCTAAATCACCAAGAAAGTTGTGTCAAATCTAAACATTCCTATTTGTTATTGTTTTAAGCATTCCTTTTTCTCTGAAAACAAACAAAGCCAAAAATAAACAAAGAAACAAAAGATAGGCAAGGATTTTCCAGTGTTAGGGATTTTTCATTAGACAAAAATATTGGAGGAGCTAAGATGGCCGAATAGGAACAGCTCCAGTCTACAGCTCCCAGCCTGAGCGACGCAGAAGACAGGTGATTTCTGCATTTCCATCTGAGGTACCGGGTTCATCTCACTAGGAAGTGCCAGACAGTGGGCACAGGACAGTGGGTGCGCGCACCGTGCACGAGCTGAAGCAGGGCGAGGCATTGCCTCACTCGGGAAGCAAAGGGTCAGGGAGTTCCCTTACCCAATCAAAGAAAGGGGTGACTGACGGCACCTGGAGAATCGGGTCACTCCCACCCGAATACTGCGCTTTTCCAATGGGCTTAAAAAATGGCGCACCACGAGATTATATCCCGCACCTGGCTCGGAGGGTCCTACCCCACGGAGTCTCGCTGATTGCTAGCACAGCAGTCTGAGATCAAACTGCAAGGCGGCAGCGAGGCTGGGGGAGGGGCGCCCACCATTACCCAGGCTTGCTTAGGTAAACAAAGCAGCCGGGAAGCTCAAACTGGGTGGAGCCCACCACAGCTCAAGGAGGCCTGCTTGCCTCTGTAGGCTCCACCTATGGGGGCAGGGCACAGACAAACAAAAAGACAGCAGTAACCTCTGCAGACTTAAATGGCCCTGTCTGACAGCTTTGAAGAGAGCAGTGGTTCTCCCAGTACGCAGCTGGAGATCTGAGAACGGGCAGACTGCCTCCTCAAGTGGGTCCCTGACCCCTGACCCCCGAGCAGCCTAACTGGGAAGCACCCTCCAGCAGGGGCACACTGACACCTCACACGGCAGGGTACTCCAACAGACCTGCAGCTGAGGGTCCTGTCTGTTAGAAGGAAAACTAACAAACAGAAAGGACATCCACACCAAAAACCCATCTGTATATCACCATCATCAAAGATCAAAAGTAGATAAAACCACAAAGATGGGGAAAAAACAGAACAGAAAAACTGGAAACTCTAAAAATCAGAGCGCCTCTCCTCCTCCACAGGAACGCAGCTCCTCACCAGCAATGGAACAAAGCTGGACAGAGAATGACTTTGACAAGCTGAGAGAAGAAGGCTTCAGACAATCAAATTACTCTGAGCTACGGGAGGACATTCAAACCAAAGGCAAAGGAGTTGAAAACTTTGAAAAAAATTTAGAAGAATGTATAACTAGAATAACCAATACAGAGAAGTGCTTAAAGGAGCTGATGCAGCTGAAAACCAAGGCTCAAGAACTACGTGAAGAATGCAGAAGCCTCAGGAGCCAATACGATCAACTGGAAGAAAGGGTATCAGCAATGGAAGATGAAATGAATGAAATGAAGCGAGAAGGAAAGTTTAGAGAAAAAAGAATAAAAAGAAACAAGCAAAGCCTCCAAGAAATACGGGACTATGTGAAAAGACCAAATCTACGTCTGATTGGTGTACCTGAAAGTGATGGGGAGAATGGAACCAAGTTGAAAAACACTCTGCAGGATATTATCCAGGAGAATTTCCCCAATCTAGCAACGCAGGCCAACGTTCAGATTCAGGAAATACAGAGAATGCCACAAAGATACTCCTCGAGAAGAGCAACTCCAAGACACATAATTGTCAGATTCACCAAAGTTGAAATGAAGGAAAAAATGTTAAGGGCAGCCAGAGAGAAAGGTCGGGTTACCCTCAAAGGGAAGCCCATCAGACTAACAGCAGATCTCTCGGCAGAAACCCTACAAGCCAGAAGAGAGTGGGGGCCAATATTCAACATTCTTAAAGAAAAGAATTTTCAACCCACAATTTCATATCCAGCCAAACTAAGCTTCATAAGTGAAGGAGACATAAAATACTTTACAGACAAGCAAATGCTGAGAGATTTTGTCATCACCAGGCCTGCCCTAAAAGAGCTCCTGGAGGAAGCGCTAAACATGGAAAGGAACAACCAGTACCAGCCGCTGCAAAATCATGCCAAAATGTGAAGACCATCCAGACTAGGAAGAAACTACATCAACTAACGAGCAAAATAACCAGCTAACATCATAATGACGGGATCAAATTCACACATAACAATATTAACTTTAGATGAAAATGGACTAAATGCTCCAATTCAAAGACAGACTGGAAAATTGGATAAAGAGTCAAGACCCATCAGTGTGCTGTATTCAGGAAACCCATCTCACGTGCAGAGATACACATAGGCTCAAAATGAAAGGATGGAGGAAGATCTACCAAGCAAATGGAAAACAAAAAAAGGCAGGGGTTGCAATCCTAGTCTCTGATAAAACAGACTTTAAACCAACAAAGATCAAAAGAGACAAAGAAGACCATTACATAATGGTAAAGGGATCAATTCAACAAGAAGAACTAACTATCCTAAATATATATGCACCCAATACAGGAGCACCCAGATTCATAAAGCAAGTCCTCAGTGACCTACAAAGAGACTTAGACTCCCACACATTAATAATGGGAGACTTTAACACCCCACTGTCAACATTAGACAGATCAATGAGACAGAAAGTCAACAAGGATACCCAGGAATTGAACTCAGCTCTGCACCAAGCAGAACTAATAGACATCTACAGAACTCTCCACCCCAAATCAACAGAATATACATTTTTTTCAGCACCACACCACACCTATTCCAAAATTGACCACATAGTTGGAAGTAAAGCTCTCCTCAGCAAATGTAAAAGAACAGAAATTATAACAAACTATCTCTCAGACTACAGTGCAATCAAACTAGAACTCAGGATTAAGAATCTCACTCAAAACCGCTCAACTACATGGAAACTGAACAACCTGCTCCTGAATGACTACTGGGTACATAATGAAATGAAGGCAGAAATAAAGATGTTCTTTGAAACCAATGAGAACAAAGACACAACATACCAGAATCTCTGGGATGCATTCAAAGCAGTGTGTAGAGGGAAATTTATAGCACTAAATGCCCACAAGAGAAAGCAGGAAAGATCCAAAATTGACACCCTAACATCACAATTAAAAGAACTAGAAAAGCAAGAGCAAACACATTCAAAAGCTAGCAGAAGGCAAGAAATAACTAAAATCAGAGCAGAACTGAAGGAAATAGAGACACAACAAACCCTTCAAAAAATTAATGAATCCAGGAGCTGGTTTTTTGAAAGGATCAACAAAATTGATAGACCGCTAACAAGAATAATAAAGAAAAAAAGAGAGAAGAATCAAATAGATGCAATAAAAAATGATAAAGGGGATATCACCACCAATCCCACAGAAATACAAACTACCATCAGAGAATACTACAAACACCTCTACGCAAATAAACTAGAAAATCTAGAAGAAATGGATAAATTCCTTGACACATACATTCTCCCAAGACTAAACCAGGAAGAAGTTGAATCTCTGAATAGACCATTAACAGGCTCTGAAATTGTGGCAATAATCAATAGCTTACCAACCAAAAAGAGTCCAGGACCAGATGGATTCACAGCCGAATTCTACCAGAGGTACAAGGAGGAACTGGTACCATTCCTTCTGAAACTATTCCAATCAATAGAAAAAGAGGGAATCCTCCTTAACTCATTTTATGAGGCCAGCGTCGTTCTGATACCAAAGCCGGGCAGAGACACAACCAAAAAAGAGAATTTTAGAGAATTTTACCAACCAAAAAGAGTCCAGGACCAGATGGATTCACAGCCGAATTCTACCAGATGTACAAGGAGAAACTGGTACCATTCCTTCTGAAACTATTCCAATCAATAGAAAAAGAAGGAATCCTCCCTAACTCATTTTATGAGGCCAGCGTCATTGTGATACCAAAGCCGGGCAGAGACACAACCAAAAAAGAGAATTTTAGACCAATATCCTTGATGAACATTGATGCAAAAATCCTCAATAAAATACTGGCAAAACGAATCCAGCAGCACATCAAAAAGCTTACCCACCATGATCAAGTGGGCTTCATCCCTGGGATGCAAGGCTGGTTCAATATACGCAAATCAATAAATGTAATCCAGCATATAAACTGAGCCAAAGACAAAAACCACATGATTATCTCAATAGATGCAGAAAAGGCCTTTGACAAAATTCAACAACCGTTCATGCTAAAAACTCTCAATAAATTAGGTATTGATGGGACATATTTCAAAATAATAAGAGCTATCTATGACAAACCCATGGCCAATATCATACTGAATGGGCAAAAACTGGAAGCATTCCCTTTGAAAAGTGGCACAAGACAGGGATGCCCTCTCTCACCACTCCTATTCAACATAGTGTTGGAAGTTCTGGCCAGGGCAATTAGGCAGGAGAAGGAAATAAAGGGTATTCAATTAGGAAAAGAGGAAGTCAAATTGTCCCTGTCTGCAGATGACATGATTGTATATCTAGAAAACCCCATTGTCTCAGCCCAAAATCTCCTTAAGCTGATAAGCAACTTCAGCAAAGTCTCAGGATACAAAATCAATGTACAAAAATCACAAGCATTCCTATACACCAACAACAGACAAACAGAGAGCCAAATCATGAGTGAACTCCCATTCACAATTGCTTCAAAGAGAATAAAGTACCTAGGAATCCAACTTACAAGGGATGTGAAGGACCTCTTCAAGGAGAACTACAAACCGCTGCTCAAGGAAATAAAAGAGGATACAAACAAATGGAAGAACATTCCATGCTCATGGGTAGGAAGAATCAATATTGTGAAAATGGCCATACTGCCCAAGGTAATTTACAGATTCAGTGACATCCCCATCAAGCTACCAATGCCTTTCTTCACAGAATTGGAAAAAACTACTTTAAAGTTCATATGGAACCAAAAAAGACCCCGCATCGCCAAGTCAATCCTAAGCCAAAAGAACAAAGCTGGAGGCATCACACTACCTGACTTCAAACTATACTACAAGGCTACAGTAACCAAAACAGCATGGTACTGGTACCAAAACAGAGATATAGATCAATGGAACAGAACAGAGCCCTCAGAAATAACGCCACATATCTACAACTATCTGATCTTTGACAAACCTGAGAAAAACAAGCAATGGGGAAAGGATTCCCTATTTAATAAATGGTGCTGGGAAAACTGGCTAGCCTTATGGAGAAAGCTGAAACTGGATCCCTTCCTTATACCTTATACAAAAATTAATTCAAGATGGATTAAAGACTTAAATATTAGACCTAAAACCATAAAAACCCTAGAAGAAAACCTAGGCATTACCATTCAGGACATAGGCATGGGCAAGGACTTCATGTGTAAAACACCAAAAGCAATGGCAACAAAAGCCAAAATTGACAAATGGGATCTAATTAAACTAAAGAGCTTCTGCACAGCAAAAGAAACTACCATCAGAGTGAACAGGCAACCTACAGAATGGGAGAAAATTTTCGCAACCTACTCATCTGACAAAGGGCTAATATCCAGAATCTACAATGAACTCAAACAAATTTACAAGAAAAAAAACAACCCCATCAAAAAGTGGGTGAAGGACATGAACAGACACTTCTCAAAAGAAGACATTTATGCAGCCAAAAAACACATGAAAAAATGCTCACCATCACTGGCCATCAGAGAAATGCAAATCAAAACCACAATGAGATACCATCTCACACCAGTTAGAATGGCAATCATTAAAAAGTCAGGAAACAACAGGTGCTGGAGAGGATGTGGAGAAATAGGAACACTTTTACACTGTTGGTGGGACTGTAAACTAGTTCAACCATTGTGGAAGTCAGTGTGGCGATTCCTCAGGGGTCTAGAACTAGAAATACCATTTGACCCAGCCATCCCATTACTGGGTATATACCCAAAGGACTATAAATCATGCTGCTATAAAGACACATACACACATATGTTTATTGCGGCATTATTCACAATAGCAAAGACTTGGAACCAACCCAAATGTCCAACAATGATAGTCTGGATTAAGAAAATGTGGCACATATACACCATGGAATACTATGCAGCCATAAAAAATGATGAGTTCATGTCCTTTGTAGGGACATGGATGAAATTGGAAATCATCATTCTCAGTAAACTATCACAAGAACAAAAAACCAAACACAGCATATTCTCACTCATAGGTGGGAATTGAACAATGAGATCACATGGACACAGGAAGGGGAACATCATACTCTGGGGACTGTTGTGGGGTGGGGGGAGGGGAAGGGATAGCATTGGGAGATATACCTAATGCTAGATGACGAGTTAGTGGGTGCAGCACACCAGCATGGCACATGTATACATATGTAACTAACCTGCACAATGTGCACATGTACCCTAAAACTTAAAGTATAATAATTTAAAAAATAAATTAATTAATTAAAAAAAAAGAAATGCAATCTAACAGGCACAATCCCACTTTTGGGTATGTATCCAAAATCAATAAAAGCAAGGTCTCTAAGAAAAAAATATATATATATATTTTTTATTGCACTGCAGACTCAGATATAAGCACTTCAGCTATTGCTCTACACAAGCAAAACTAAACACTCATTTTCTTTGTTGCTATAGAATAGAATATTAAGACATTATTATGATCCATCCATTCAGTTTCATGACATACCAAATACATTGCTGGAATACATTCTGCTTGAAAATTTTAAATTGCTCTGCCACATATCATCTTTACATGTAAGTTTAGCGGAATGATATTTTCTTTTAAATATCACTTAAGATCACTCAATTATGAGAGTAGAAGGAGAGAGCCCTTTAGTAATAGTATTGTTGAATATTGGAATGAAAATCCCTGTGCTCCTTGTCTTATGAAGTAAGTCTTTTTGTGTGCATAAAATATAGTTCAACATTAAGCATTTTCTACACAATGGGGGACAAATCCCAGAGTAATCTTCATACAAAGTTATTTTAGGTGCCTAATGCCTGTAAAATTATAGTTGTGCCTTGTCCTAAAGTTGAGGGTCTTTCAACATTTTCATCATAAACCTCATTTTTCAGGGACTTATAACTCAGCTATAGAAATTTGCTTCAGGATGAAACTCGGAATACCCAATTTCAGTCAGATCTAGATATAACCAGCTAAAATAAAGACCCCAAAGTTTGCATTATATCTTTCTCACTTGGCTATCTATATTTTTAAGTTAAAAGAAACACTTGCAGACATTTCCACTAGTTTCTCATTTTTCAAAAATCTTTATATTTGGCATTTTTGAAATATAGCAAAAAGGATAAAAAGAAAATTTAATGAGTAATTAGTGTCTCAAGGGAAGGATAAAGAGGTGCTGAATCGCTCACAGCCAACTCACCCTCCAAAATCCAGGTAAGGTCAGTAGATATTGAAACTCATTACAACATAATGACATTTATTTTCAGTGAAAAGCTTTTATTGAATGAGAACAGAATACCTAATCGAGGCCTATAGCATAGAAAGTCATGGGAAAATTTAACCATAAATGTTCACTATACAGTGGAGTAATATTCTAGGTTAAAAATGTAAAAAAAAAAAAATGAAAACAAAAAAGAATTATTTACTCTGAAATAATAGCAGTAGCTCATATTCCAAATACTTGTTTGTTTCCTTGTACTTACAAGAAATTACCTTTCCCAAATGAGGAGATTTATCACTTTAGTGAATAGATATTTAAATAGAGATGCTATTGTTTAAGCAAACTGGAGCTTTCATGTGTCTATTGTTATAATACTAAGTTCTGGAGAAGGTGGGCAGAAAAGGATGTTGTAGCAACCTCAGAGGTGATATACTTCCCTAGCCCCTAAATCACTATTTGACAAGGTGAAGGACAACAAATGTGATCATTGTTTGCTTTGGTTATTCCTATTAAACACAACCATAATCCTTCCGAGCAATAATCCTATTCTTCATTTCCACATTGCCCAATGTCTCTCATCTTTTGCACACTCCACCTTTGTTGATCCCATCTCAGCACCATCTAAAATGCACACCAAGTGGTCTTCTCATGCCTGGCAAAGAGAGGAAACTCAAAAGTGCTCCCGGTTGCCTTGCTACTTCTTCCCTGCTTCCCTGTCAAGCACATCCATGCCCCATAACAGGTCTTCAAGCCCTATGTGCTCTGTGTGCACTTTTCATTTTTGATTGTCTCCCATAAAGAATCTGGGCCAGACCTGATACGTTTAAGGTCAAGATACAGGAAAGAAAATCAGGCTTGAGAGCTAAGGTGCGTAAACTGAAAGTAACAAGTTTTTAATTAAAGGTAGCAAGATGAAAATCATTCTAGATTTTAATCTCTATTCTGCTACAAGCCAGCTGTTCTTAATGTGTCTGAGTCTGAATTTTCTTACCTGAAAGAAATAAAAAGATTGAATCAGAAGATTTTTTAAATCCCTTTTAGATCTAAAGTTCTGAAATTCTTGTGGAAATAAGTAGTTCAGTAAGGTAATTTCTTTTTATCATTTAGCCCAATTCAACCCACACAGATAACAGTTTTCTCCCCCAAAAGCATTTGAATGTCCTGAATAAACACAGGATTATGAATGATAAAAATCAGACTCAGTACTAAAATTTCACGTTTTATTAAGGAGTTTTATTAAGGAGTCCTCCATTAGATGACTCCTTTCCCGACAACAGACAGCTAACCACACCACCATTGCCTGGCTGCATGGCCAAATCCATGCAAGAAAGTAAGACAGAGGGCTGTGCTGAAATCCCTCATTCTTGTAGATTTGAAACTAACCCCTTGGAAAATCCAGTGTCTTTTGTGGGTTAGCTGTGCATGTGAAATGCAAGCTTGTTAAGAACTTAAACCAATATTCATAATTTGATGTCAGCCGGATTCCTTTCTCTTCCCATCCCCCTGTGAAGAATAAAGGAGAGCTACAAAGATGAGAAAAGGGAGGCATAGAATCTATGTAGGTTTGAATTAACTTTCAGCTCATTGTGAAAGTTTACAAAGAATTTTAAAGTGCCAGAATTTGGGGGTGCTATCTAGGGGAATTTCACCACTCCATGTGCTTATTCCAAGAGCTATACAACTACGTAGTGTATGACAGAAATTTTTAAAGAAATTACATACATTTAAAACCGATCTAGGCCTTTCTCACCTTCAGAACCTGGACAAACTGCCAATGACAGAATCCTGTCTTTTCTCTGTCTGTAAGAGCCACTCTCAGTTGTTCTGTGACTCTATAGCCCTACTATGTCAAATTACTAAGGCAGATTGGGGATGCCCCTTCACATTAGGAAGGAAGGATATCCCCTAATATCATAAGAACACGCTTAAAATATGCGGCAATAATTCCAAATAAAGGACAAAAGCAAGAATATTATCACAATATGTAAGGATTAGGTATTTCCAGAAAGTGCAGGCATAAGATCCCCAAAGGAACCTCTTAACTCTCCCCTCAGTGTAGGTACACTTTGGAGACTCTGCAGTGTGAGCAAAGATCCCAGGCAACTATGTGCCCCTAAAGTATAAGGCAAGTCCCTCTTTATTAAAAAGGTTTAAGGTTGGGAGGTGTAATTTCAACTTTGTATGACAATACAACACTGAACAGACGATAAGTATTTAAAACAGAAGGAATTTCGTGCAAGGAATGGGTTACACAGGTGATAAAATTGCTGAGAAACCAAACTGGGGAAAGTGAAGAAAGCCAAAAATCAGTAAGACGAGGGAGCCACTCCCAGTGCTGCGGGAGTAAGGGCGGAAGCACTATTATCAGAGCCCAGTGAATGGTGTCACCCAAAAGAAGTTGGAATCACTGCAGCCTATCCAGCGTGAGCTTAAGTCTCAAAGGTTGTGCACCCCGCCCCCCCACCCCAATGCAGATCGAGCAGAGAAAGACCCTGGATTTTCCCTTCTTCCTTCCCTTCTGTCTCCTGCCACTGCTTCCTAATGCCCGATGTGTGGGAGCCTGAGAAATGCACGCTACTGGGGTCAGCTTCCCTGAGGCATAGGCCAAAACTGAGGAAAGCAAGAAATAGATCTGGCCCAGGACCAGAATGAGTATTTTTATCCACTCATGCATCAAGCATACAATGAGCACCTGCTATGGGCCAGGCAGTCATCGCTAACAACTGCGTAACCACGTAACTAATGTCACGGGCCTCAAAGAAGTTAAGATGCCATGAAAGAGGCAGATATATAAGCGCCGAATGGCAGTCCTATTCGTGAGAAGTGATAAGATACACCAGAACTCAGAGAAGGGAGTGGCGGTCTACGAAAGGCTACTTTTCATATTGTACAGTATGCTCTTTAGTTCCCGCAGGAAAAATGTTAAGATGCTGTGACCCAAGTTAGAAGCACAGAGTCTAACTTATCACAGAATTTATTCTCTTAAAAACCCGTAAAATGGTCCTAAAGAAATTATTGTTGCTCGTTTTATTTCTTGTTCCCCAAGATCAAATGACTTCTGTCATCATTGAGGGATTATGACTGTCTCTGGAAAATGATGGCTGGAGTAACCCAACCAAAATGAATATTGCGGTAAGGAGGCCATTAGGCTGGAAACGCACGCAGCCAAAAGTGCCTGCGTAAACTACAAGTCAAGTAGGGAGTGGGGGAAATAAGAACACATTCACCCTTTGCAAATGTAAGGAGATTTTCCAGTAAAGCGACAATAATTTAATTACAAAAATGCTTCTGATATTGCTACCCATGAAATCTTTTTGGCAAAAAGACTGACAGAATAAGTACAGCAGGCTCAGTGATTACTGATAGGTTTGAATTAGAGCCAGATTAAAGGTACTATACTGACTTTCTGTGTAGGGTGCTTGAAGCGGCAGCCAAATGTTCAAGCCTGAACTCTTCTACTCACATAAAATCTAAGGCCACTATGTTCTGTCAAGGCCCGTTAGTAAGGTTTAAGTCAGTGGGCTGAACATCAACACTTTTCTCTGCTGTTATATTGATCATTAGTACAAAATATTAGCATAAATCTGATTGACGCCTATGGCACAAATCAGATGCTATCACAATCATGCTAGATGATTTGACTATAGAATAATCACATTGAAGAGCAAACCATACTCACCCTAAAGAGGCACAGTAGCACTGCAATCCTACATTGCCCCACAGTGCTATGTGTTTTGTAGCCAAACTCTTAGCAGCCCATGAAGGCTGATAAACACCTTGTGTTTAATAGCAGACTAAGAATACAATCATCATTAAATGATTTTTAAGACTGGGTGTGGTTTTATTTATATTCAACTGCTTTTTTTTTAATGACGCTTTGTGTTTTACTGGGAAGCATCCAGATTTTTATTTAAAACAGAAGTGCTGAAAAAAAAAAAGCTACACAGTTTCTGTTCTGGACCATTAATTTTTCAGTCAGATTTAACTATCATTTAATTGGTTCCTGATGCTAAAACTTGGACTCCACTTTAAATGCTTGAAACTAAAGTATATAGAATAATCTGTTATGCTGAGCTATTCATCCCAAATGTCCAGGGAAAATAAACCAATCTCAAAATAAGACTGGGCTACTTTCTGTGATGACACAAAATTAATAGCATAGTCTAAGAAACAAACCTAGGTCTATGTTTGACCAAAAGAAAAATCATTAGGGTTTCTATGAGGAAGTAATATTTAATTCATATTAATGACCAACATAAAAGTGGGTCCCTTAACAACAACAACAAAACTCTATGAACATAAATTTTAGAAATCTGTCCTAATTTACCAATACTTAAAATCATAATTCCGACAAATCTGTTTGTCTTAGGCATATAAATGAATTTTTAGTACTTCTTTTTATAATTATGAATTAATTAAAAACAGTGGTAAGGAAGGATGCTTGAGTCCGGGAGCTTGAGTTCAGCCTGGGCAATATAGCAAGACCCCATCTCTAAAATAAATAAATTAATTAATAACAATTTAAAAATTAAAGATACTATGTGATCTTATGATTAATTTCTAGAAGGAAATTTAAACTTTTCCAAGATTTCAAGGCAGTCCACATCACCACTTTACAATTTGAAATGTAAAAAGGTAAATGCCCTGTAGACACGTTTTTTATATAAGAATAGAAAAAATTTAATGGATGAAATTTAACCAGAAAATTGGCTTGAGAGATCTGCATTGTAAATAGGTTTCTGTTCACACCAAACAGAGTCAATTTGTAATCTGGCTCAACTAAACAGCTCAGAAAAACAACCTCTGAACAGGAATTCCACACATGCAGATTAGCACTAGTGAAAATCCTTGTGAAATAACTGCTAGTTCAGCATGAACCCAATGCAGTTTGGTAACCAGTCTTCTGGAGAGATGCCAAACTAGTTAGATAATTTCTCTAGGCAGCATGTAGCCCTAGAGGCGCAGTGCACAAATGCTTTGAGGCTTTTTAAAGATATTTTGTAGGTCCTCAGCTATTGACCATTTAACAATGCTAGTCATGTTTCTGTAGTTTAATGATCACAAAATATTTTGTAAATGAAGAGCTCTCTTTACCATAGAAATGAAGTTTAAAGATAACATGGCTGAGCTGCTTTCCAGTGATAGAAGCTATAAGAGAAAAATGAGGCATATAATGTACAGTTTAATTTAGAGGAGGTATGGCATAGAGTTCCCTAGTCTCCCAGAAATGTTTTGGAAATATACTAATAAAATTCATCCTTAATGTTATTTTAACCCTAATGCCTAATCAGTATTTTCACCTTCATGCAAAGTACTAGCTATATATGTATTTTGCAATTTTTTTCAAAAAAATCACTTATTTGATTTCTAATCCATGTATTTTCCATTAGAGTTCTGAAGTTTCTCCCTACCAATATATCAGAAGAGCTGTGTTGATGTAACTGCCTTTCCTGGTTCTTCTTTCTAGCAACAGCTTCTACTGGCAAGATGGTTCGTTAGCTTAATGATACAGTCTGAATTAGTGCCAAGAATTCATCATCTTTCCTCCCTCAAAACCTCTCCCACTTCAGTGTTACCTATCTCAATGAACGGCACCAGGTCAGGAAACAGAAAGCTGGCTAGACTTGGAGACTCGTCCCCCTCCCTCGACTCCACATCTAATCATCCATTATGTCCTGTCCAGTGCACCTCCAAATAGGCCTCAGGTTCGTCTCCTCAGTTTCAGCCTCTGCCCATTGCCTTAGTTCAGTCCTTTATAATTGTTTACCTAGACTATCACAATATTTTTATTTTGTCGCCCTATGTTTCTTCTCTTCCCTGCTCCCCTCTGTTCTAACTCCATCCAGGCAGATCCCTCTATTCCACAAAATCATCAACGGCTCCAGTGCCTACAGTCGAAAGTCTAAACCCTAAGCAGGCCTTTCAAGACCTTTCTGGTCTCATCTCTGACTCATCTCCATATCTATTCCAGTCTGCATTGCCCTAAACTTCTCATTTCTTTTTATCTCTGAATCTGCTGTTTCCTCTATGTGCCTGTCTGTCCCATCCCACCCCTGCAAAATCTGCATGCTCTTTCCTCCTTTAGGGCCCCTCCCATTTCCACCTCTGGCAGTAGGGCTTTCTCTGGTCTTCCTTCCCGGGCACCATTCCACCCCCCTTTTAGGACACTTGTTCCATTGCAAGGGAATTCACAGTTAATCGATAATTGTGAGTTCCCTGAGGGCTGGGATTTTATCATATCATTTTTTTTTATTCTTAGCACCTAATCCAAGTTCTGAGCATCTAAGTGGGGAAGAGAGTAAAACCAGAGAAGAAAGAATAAAGAGAGAAAGGGAGGGAAGAAAAAAGGAAAGGAAGGAACAAAGAAAAGGAGGGAGTAAGAGATGGGGAGAAAGCCACTTTGATACACTTATTAGAATAAACGTTTTTGGCCAGCTAACCAACTACTGAAAAATTGGTACAGGAAAACATACAAAGAAAGGAACACGTCCTTAGCCTACATTTGGAAGTTTGTATGTGAGGCCTGAAAAGGATCTAAAAAGATATAGTACAGTCCTTTCTAAAATAACTGAGTCATGTGTTGAGATTGGTTTTGAAACCATTAGTGTCTAAAAGTAAAGAAAATAATGAATGCCAGAAAGGGGGGGTCGGGGAAGGTTTTCTCCAAAATACACCCTAGAGATTGAAAAGGGAGAAGGGAGAGGATAAAGGTTGACTAGACATGAGTGAAGCCAAAAAAATCACCTTCCCCTTTCAAAAGGGAATGGAGAGAGGAAGGGGGGATAGTACACGAATGGGAAAAAATCAACTCCTCTGATTAAATGTTACATATTTTTGACTCACTCAAATTTCAGGATGCCAGGGGGAGGGGCAGAAGGGTGTGTTTTTACTAATGATTAATCTTTTTCTCCTTCTGTTTCTCAACCTGGTGACATTGTTGAAGCTGGGGGAGGGGAGCATGGAATTAAAGTAGCAAAAAGTAGGTTCTCTCTAATTCTATTAGACATTTTTCTTAATGAGAATTTCCCTTAATTGTTTACTTTTATGTACCTACAGAGATCCCTACTCGGGAGGGGTTTTTTAAATGACCTGGCACGTAAAAATTATTTGTCTACTTACTGTGAAGAGTCATCAAATAAAGTTACAGAACAACATTATTATCCTGAAAGCAATTTGTAATAGATAAGATATTTTAAGTTTTGTCTGGCTAAAAAAAAAACCAGTAATGCTTCTGAGATAGATGATTACTTGTTCAAATGTCTGAGAAGAGGAAGATATGAATGTCATATTCTAAAGGAATCCACTCTTCCTATATGATGGCCAAAAACAAAAAAAAAGCCTAAAGACACAGCAGAAATAAATAATTCTCAGTGATTTACTTACAGAGCCTGAAGTGTATGGTTCTGAACAAGATATTTCCCAGAGCTGCAGCAGTAAGCTTGACACAGCACCAGACCTGTTTCAAGCTCCCCAGCTCCTTTCCACAGACATTTACTTCTGTTTTCCATGCTGTATTTCCTGCTCCAACATCAGTAACTTTTTCCTCTAACCCATGTCTATTCTATCAAGCTAAACTTCTGAGGTCTCAGTTTCAGTGACACAGGCAAGACTGACTCAGTGCCATTCAATCACCAGCCAATCTGAACACTAATCTGTACTGTATTACTGCCACACTGCCTGTCCCAGATAGAAAATTTATCCTTCACATTTGCTCATTCATTCATTCAACATGTATGGAATGAGAAACTGCTAGATGCCTGGCATGGTGCCAAGCCCGAGGTGCAACAGTTAGTGAGACTAAGTCCCTGCTGCTCTTCACTGTGACCCCATTATGACAATACTGGGTAGCAAATGATATGAAAAAGGAAAATAGAAAGTGAGGAAGCAGAAAGGAAGGAGCAACCAACACTAACTCCTTTATCCAAGGGGAACATGTGTTTGCCTTCAAAGGAGAGTAACTATACTTAAATCCAGAAATGACCAAAACATTTCTTATGTGCCATTGGGTAAACACTGATATGTCTTAAGACCTGAATCTGTAAAATCATCTTTTATAGACAAAACTAAAGGTAACTTAAAAGAAATTATCTAGATATCTAGATAGCTATTTGGGGGGGAAAGTGAGGAGGCAATTGTCCAGAGAAAAGGGTACAAGTATATAAATTATTGAGAAACTTGCTGAGAGCATCTGTTGGCAGGAACGCAAGTTCACATTTGTGACTGAGAATTAACAATCCAACTTCACCACGAAGACTGCCAGCGCAAATTCACGGAGACTCCTTCTAACCTACGGTGATATAAGACTTCATGATGTTCAAGGCACTTTTTTTCTCATTATTTCCATGCACCAAAGGGTTAATCACAGAATAGTAAATTGAGGCACTGAGAGAAAATATTAAAATCCCAACTTGACTGGGAAAATTGAGGGTCAGAGAGCCATGCTGGTAAACAGCACACCCAGGATGAGTTCTCCAGTTTCCTAATTCCTGACCAGAGCTCTTCTACCAACATGTTGCCTCTGACACTTCACTGTATGAAGAAACAAAGCAGAGAGATTAAAATCTAAATACAAAAAACAAGGGCTTCCAGTTAGATAAATCAGATAAATGTAGTTGAATCACATAAATATGATGCAAATAAGTTCGATTTCTAATGCTTCCAATACCCCACTAAATATCTAGAATAGGTTCTTTGCTATGCAAGATCTCAGGTTCAGAAAGAATAAACTTTAAAAAATGACAGTGGGAGCAGAGCATCTTCTTTGAAGGTTTCAGATTTTGGAGGTCAGTACTTTCTACTGAAGTCTGAAGGAGGCTCAAGGGATTGTGGACAGGAAAAATCAGTCTTGTGAAATCTACTCAATACTTAAAGTATTTATCTTGTAAATCTACTTATCCCCTCTGTTTTAATCTATTTTGGCTGCTAAAGCAAAATACCTTTGACTGAGTAATTTATAAACAACAGAAATGTATTTCTTACAGTTCAAGAGACTGGGAAGTGCAAGATCAAGGTGCCAGCAGATGCCAGGTCTGGTGAGGACCCATCCCTCATAGATGGTGCCTTTTGTGTCTTCAGATGGCAGAAAAAACAAGGCAGCTTTCTTTAACCTCTTTTATAAGGGCATTAATCCCATCCATGATTGTGGATTCCTCATGACCTAATCACCCCCTAAATTAACCACCTCCTAATACCACCACAATGGAGATTGGCTTTTAATATGAATTTTGTCAGTCAATAACAGCCTCCAAATACCTGGGAAGGTTTTTACCAGGTTAGCAGTAGAAAAATATGGGTGGAGGCTAGGATTCAGTTTGGACCTACAACTGAATGAGAAGGGATGCCTCCCCAGCTGGAAGTATCTGGTGGTGATGATGATGATGATAAAGTGAGTCCCATTATCCCAGAAGTTAATCACATGTGGTGCTGAACCAAAAGGCTTGGAGACTGACCCAATGGAAGGACTCTGTCCCCTGTATTTGTGGTATATCAGTTTGGCTTTTGTAATAGACAGACCTGAAATAGTGGTGTCTTGAACAAAATAGAAGTGTATTTCTCTCTCAAGTGCAGTCCCAGAAGTCATGCAAGTACAGCAGTTCTGTAGTGCCAGGATCCTGGACTCCTTCTAGCTTTTTGCTCAATCACAGCTGCCTCAGCTCCAGTTCTCCTAACACATTCCAGTCAGCAGGGACAAGAAGAGAACAGAAAGGCACATCCTCTCCCTTTGAGAACACAATCTAGAAGTTGCACACAGCAACCTTGCTAATATCTTATTGGCTAGAATTCCATCATATGTATACACCAATTGCACAAGAGGCCCAGCTAAAAATTCTGCTTCCATAGAAACAGGAGAGAGGAGATACCAGGGAACAACTGGCTGTTTCTGCCACAGACCCAACTCTAAAAAGTCATTTGTGACAAGCCTTCCTCTTGTCTCCTCAATTCAACTCCAACTATTAATACTTTCTAGCACTTTGTATAATTTCAGGGCTCCTGTTCTACCTGAACTGCATCCTCATTTTTGAGGGACTAAGTCACTGGCCACTCTAAAGAGGGCAAGCCACAAGCTCAGAAATTGCTTAAAAGACTGTTCCAAAGTGATTCACCTCATGAATATATTACTGACATTTTGTAGCAAGCACTTGCCCTAATATTAAGTATAAGAACTCATTTGTTACTAAAAGAAACATTACCATTCAATAGGGAAATACTGGTTCATGGAAACATATGATCTCTGCTCTCTAAATAATTGTGTACTTTTTGGCATGGTAAGAATATTGTATCAATTTAATCCTTTAGATACAAAAAATGATGAAAGAGTTATTGTCTGTTTTAATGATAGTTTGAAAGTGATTATTATGGGCACATTTCTCAGTTCTCTCTCCTACTTAGGATAGTTACCTATCCTAAGCAGTCACTACATTAATAAAAGAAAGGAGCACTAAACCTGAGGTTAAAATAAATCGTACCCAGTACTAATCAAAGTTAGGTTGAATGTTTGCATGCAGTTCATTTGGATGAATACTACTCTCAGCAAAGATATCAGAAAGAGCATTTCATGCAACAGGAAATGTGAAGTTCTCACCACTGCCCAGAGCATGTATACATACCATCCAGTAGTTATGTTACATGGAAAGGGTGCTGCCAAACATCTTGCATAAGGCAACTTTAAATATGGATCTGGAAACTGGTTAGAAAATCCCTAAACTGAATTTATTTGAGGGTTTAACAATATAAACTGCAGAAGAAGAGAGAATCTCCTTGAGAAACTCCTCTATGATGTGACATTACAAACAAGTCATCCAGAAACATATTTCATCAATTGGGTAAGAACCCTTGTCAGGCCATGTCCCAAGGGTAAGCTGCAACATCTGCAACATCTCCAGCTCTGGGAGAAAGATGACATTCTCTGAATCCTAGAGGAACTGTATTTTCCCCTTAGGGTAGAAAGCACCATCCTAGAGCACAAGCCCTGTCAGCTTTATCACCAGTGCCAAACCCCACCATCTGCCTTCCTCCAAATACATATACTATCTTATACACACAAACACATGCATGGCATCACCATAAACAGCATAGTTTCTAATAAGAAGGATAATTCTATTTCTCATTTATATTTTTTGGAGTAAAATAATTAAGACTATTGCTGGAAGTGATTAGAACCTCTATCTTTTGCCTTTTCACTGGAAAATGAAAAAGCCATCTGCAGCAGACTGGAAACTGCTTTCCCTTGATATTCTTCTTCAGAGCAGAACTCTGACTTTTAACTGGGCATGTTACCCCCCAAACTAAAAGATTGCATTTCTCAGTCTTCTTTTGGCTAGATGTGACCAAGTGACAAAGTTCTACCCAATGAGAGGTTAAGTGGATGATTTCCAGCAAGGCTGTTTGAAGGACAAGACTCAGATGAGAGAGCTCAGATTCCTTCTTCCTCCTTCCTCCTGACCTGCAGCATGGGTCTGATAACTGGTGCTGTCACACACAGGTGGCTCAAGCAGCCATCTTGGACCACAGAGCAACTTTGAGGATATAAGTCATACATAGGATGCTCTTAGTGAAGATAGGCTAAGGTGCTGCAGCAAAGCCAGTCTAGACTTCATGAGTTGGAAAACAGATTACTTCTCTCTTGCGTTACAGGTCACAGAAAGGGTTCTGGGCAATGGGCAGTTTTGCTCCAGCTATTCAAGGACTGAGGCTCTTGATAACTCTGCATCTTTGTTGTGTAGCTTCTAAGCTATCAGCTGTCATCATCCAGTGAAATCTAACATGGAAAAATGCGGAAGGCCAGGACCAGAAATCTCCTCTTAGGAAGGTGAGGAGGAGGCTGCCCACATTATTTCTGTTCACATCCCATCGGTAAAAGTTCCATGGCACAGCAACATCCAGCTGCAAGGGAGACCGTGGGAAATGAATTCCTAATTGGACAGCCACATCTCAGCTACAGTTCTATTTATTACTCACTGAAGAAGAGGAGAAACAGGTTCTAACAAACAGCTCCCAGTCTCCAAGCAGGTGGTAAGACTGATGACAGGAGACAGGGCCTCCGATGGTACCTTGGAGCTACTCTCTCTACTGCTTATGTCTATCTTTCTTTTATTTGAATGAAAAATAAATTTGTATGTTGTTAAGCCACTTTAATTTTGGAGGATGATTTTCCTTCTTTGCATACTCCTCAATGGTACAAATTATCAGATTTTACCTTTAAATACAGGACTATTTTGGGTTATGAGTGTAAAATACATATTGACCAATTAAACAATTATGATATTTAAACTATGAAGGATTACTCTAATAAGACATTGGCGGTCATGGCTGCAATTTTGAGTTAGGCTTTAAAATACTTTTTCTTATCTTCCCCTATGTTACTAGTTCTTTTACTGTGTAAAATACAGTATTACTTTGTGGCCTGACTGTTAATACAGTCATCTGTTGTTTAACTGTGGGGAAACATTCTGAGAAATACATCGTTAGGCAATTTTGTCATTGTGAGAATGTTGTAGAGTGTACTTACACAAACCTAGGTGGTATAGCTTACTACACACCTAGGCTATATGGTATAGCCTATTGTTTCTAGGCTACAAATCTGTACAGCATGTTACTGTCCTGAATACCGTAGGCAAAATTATAACACAGTGGTAGTATCTGTGCAGCTAAATGTATCTAAACATAGAAAAGATACACTAAAAATACAGATAAAAATGGTACAGCTGTAGAGGGCACTTACCATGAATGTAGTTTGTGGGACTAGAAGTTGCTCTGGGTGAGTGAGTGAGTGAGTGGTGGGGGAATGGTAAGGCCTAGGACATTTCTGTAAGGTAGACTTTATAAACAATGTACTCTTAGGTTACACTAAATCTATTTTTTAAATTTCTTTCTTCCATAATATATTATCCTTAGCTTACTGTAACTTTTTTATTTGATAAGCTTTTTAATTTTTTAACTTTTTGACTCTTGTAATAACACAGCTTAAAACACAAAGACGTGTACAGCTGTACAAAATATTTTTATAGCCTTATTCTATATACCTTTTACTATTGCTAAAATTTTGGATTTTTTACTTTTTAAGCGTTTTTATTAAAAACTGAGACAAAAACACACATATTAGTCTGGGCCTGCACAGGGTCAGGATCATCAATATCACCATCTTACATCTCCACATCTTGTGCCGCTGGAAGTTCTTTGGGTGCAGTAACATGCATGGAGCTGTCATCTCCTAGGATAACAATGCCTTCTTCTGGAATACTTCCTGAAAGACCTGCCTAAGGCTGTTTTACAATTAACTCTTTTTTTAATAAGTAGAAGGAGTAAACTCAAAAGTAATGATAAAAAGTATAGTATAGTAAATATATAAACCAGTAACATAGTCATTTATTATCATGATCAAGTATTATGAACTGTATATAATTGTATGTGCCATACTTTTATATGACTGGCAGTGCAGCAGGCTTGTGTACACCAGTATCACCACAAACGAAATGAGTAATGCCTTCTGCTATGGCATTACTATGGCTACAACATCACTAGGCCATAGGAATTTTTCAGTTCCATTATAACCTTATGGTTCCACCATCGTACATGCGGTCTGCCATTGATCAAAACATTAAGAGGCATATGATTGTAATATTGATGTAAAAACTGAGACTTATTTCAAACAAGAAACAAATTCTAGATTTGGCAATTGTCTGGTAGATGATACCTCTTTAATCCAGATAACTAATACATCATCCACTCAATTCTTCTTTTTTTAAATTATGATTTTAAAATAGGAAGAATTATTTACCTAATTAATAAAACCTATGAATTAAAAATAATAGAAAGCAAGATGCAGGCTTCCCATGTAGAAACATTTTGTTAAGTAATTTCAAGTGATATATTTCATGTCTCTTACATACCTTGAATGAGGTATTTACTCCTGTTCTGACCAAATTTTTAAAGGAGCATGCATACACATAAAAGTTTTATTCCAGCAATTATGAATCCTTCATCAATAAAAACTCCTTAAATCAGATTCTCCTCAATGCCTCAGTCAGCATATTAACCCTTTTAAGTGATTAGGGCTGCATATATAGCACCACTCACCACAGCAATATACAATTGACATGACTTAGGAAATCTACTTCTTAACCCCATGGAAATTTTTAAGTGTGGGAACCAAGAGACATGGGTTCTGGTCCTACTGACTACAACTCAGCTGTCTGACCTTGAGCAAGTCCTTTAATGAGCTTTTGACCTCATTATTCTCATTTATTAAAGGAAACATTCAAATTTAACTATCTCAAAAATCTTGTTCTACTCTACCAAGTATACCCCCAGTTCTCAAGTTCCCCTCATCCTGTGACTACAAGGCGAAGATTGTAGCAGGAATAGCGAATGGCATAACCTCACAGTAAAAATCCTTAGGAATATGGGAGTAGTCCTTCTACTAGTCAGAAATGGCTACATGATTGTGCAAGTCATGAGGCTGTGTTTTGCGCCCTCCATGACAACTTTCAGTAACACTGATAGTTACCTTTTACTGGGAGTTGATTATTTGCCAGGCACTGTGCCAAGTGAATTACATACAATATCTCAGTTAATCCTCATGACAACCCTAGAGGGCAGTAACATTATCCCCATTGCACAGATGAGGAATCTGAGGCTTAGAGCAATTAAATAATTTGCCCAGGCCACGGGGAGTGTCGCCTAGAACGCAGGGCTGCCTGGCTCTAAACCAGACTCTCCAGAACTGTGCGAGATGCCTGCAGGAAGTCAGGTCATCCTGGCAAACTGCTCTCTTGTCCCCACTCTTGAATATGCCCACTGAGTCACCCATATTTAATGACACCATGAAGTTCATAATAAAGGCTCTTTGTGTCCCTCCCGACTCCATTCCCTTGCTTCTCCTAATAACAGATGCAAGCATTAATCGACACACAGAGCTCAGCTCTTTAAATGTGTTGTCTCATTTCATCTTCACAACAATCCTCTGAGAAAGATACTATTATCTCCTCCATTTTACACTGAGTAACAGAAAAGTTAAGTACATTGCCCAAGCTACCCAGCTAATAAGTGCAAAATAAATGTTTGAACTTAATTCTAATTCCAAAAGAAGTAAAACTTTGTGAACGCTAGGAGCATTCTAAATTAACAGGTATTAAACCTTTACAATGTGTTGAGCCCTATGCAAAGTGCTTCACATAAACTGTCACATGTAATCCTCAAAACAATCCTATAAGATAGGTATTAATGTTATTGATGTCATTTTTTAGATAACAGAACCCTGAAAGTCTCGGGTAAGCATTGAGAGAAAGTCAAGCAGAGGCCATAGAGCCAAATAAATACAACATCAGGCTTTAAGATCAAACAGACTGCTTGTTACAACTGTTAGTGTGTTCTCTTGATGATTTACTTAACCTTACTCTACCTCAGTTTCCCAATCTGTGAAATGGACCTGCTATGAGGATCTTATGTGTTAATATATAGAAAGTGTTCAAAACAGTCTCTGGCATACAGTAAGAACCTTAACAATTGTTAAGAAAAAAAAAAAAAAGAAGCCTAGACTTTGCCTTTTACTAGCAAAGTGGCTTTATCTTTCTGTGTCTTCATTTTGTCATTTGTAAAATACAAAAAAAAATAGTAGTACATACCTTGTATCGTTATTGTGAGAAGGAAATGAATAATTATAGAGAGAGGAAATGAGTAGGTATGTATTAGAACATAAGTGCACATGTGTCCAATAAACGTTAACTTTCACTGTCATTATTATTATATCATTATCATTTTGATCCTTTTCTTAGTTATACAAAAATCCTCCTCTACCTCAGGAGTGATCCAGCTGGCCCTGCCTGAATCCTTTTTCCTCAAAGAAACAGAAGGGATGCCTAAGGTGGTCAGCAATTCTGATAATTTCAGCTGAGCCATACATGCAAGTCAGAGAATGCCATTTTTCTCAGAACTCACCTCTAGGAGGGCAGGAATGATTCTCAGTATCTGGGTATGATGGCACTCACTGCACCATGCAAATAAACACATAATTATGCACTGTCTTAAAATGTTTTCTAAGACTGTGCCTGCCTTGAATGACTGCAGGGCTCTCAGGGCAGGGCCTTGATATCTACAGCTTTGATGACCCCTGCAGAACCAAGCTGCAGTCTAAAGTATTGACTGATTGCTTGGTTGACTGATTGATGTAACAACTAGCCCTATGATCTGCTTAGTTGAGAGTACAGCCAGCCCGCTCCCAAAAGGCAGATGTATAATGGTTGCGTGTTTACAGGTGCCAGAGCCTGACCGCCTGGGTTTGAAGACTGCCTCCTCCATTTTCTGATTATGTGACCCTAGGCAATTGACCTCACTTCTTTGTGTCTTAAAAATCTCTAAAATGGGAATCACAATCATCTCTAGTCTGATAATTAATTAACTTAATCATATAAGTGCTTAAAAAAGTGTCTGGCTATAAGAAGTGCTCAGTAAATGTTAGCATTGTTGACTGGCTAGCTCAATTGACTGAAAGTGGTCTCAGTTATCCAATCACTTTATAGTCATATGGTGTGTCCCTGTCTGAATGTTGAGCAGAAAAGAGCTTCCCTTCCTTTTGTGGGTATAGGCTATCAGTCCAACAGTTCCCATGGCAGCTGTGCCCTGCCCATCACTCCAGCAGCAAATGTGTGCCAAGCATACATACCTCCATGAATCATTTTGGCTGTTAAGAATCATTCACCAACATGACCTCTTTTCTTCTTGAGCCATGCTAATAAGGCTATATGACTTGCCACCCACTCATAAATACACAAGTGAAAAAAATTTATCTTGCAACAATTATATAGACTTGTCCTTGAGCACTAAGAAGAATATCTGTTCTTTTATTCCCTTATTCTGACAGTAAACATTTATTGAGTGTTCTATATCTAGACCCAGGGCTAGACATTGCAGTTATAACAGTGGAAATCTAGTTTTAGACCAGAATTTATAATCTGGGGGAATGGAGACAGGGGAGGTATAGCGGAAAGAGAAGTAAATAGGCAAACATAAAGCCAAGTGGTAAGTAAGCATAGGATTTTAGGGGAGGGTGGGAAAGTGGGAGGGGGAAGAGGAAAAGAGAGGGTGAGTTTTCAAAAAATCAGGCACCAAACAACAAAAAAAAATCATAGGTTCAAAAAACATTTCCCAAGAGAAAGTGGCCTCTAAACTGTGATCTCAAGCAAAGCTATGTTAATTCTTACAATTATTCCATTGTGTAGGTGGAGAAACTGAGGCAGGAAGACACTGGTCTGAAGTTGTAAAAATGTATGAGAATGTATGAGTCTTGGGAAGAAAACATTGTCCTGAAGACTTGGAGTTCTTTGCTTCCACCATCACACCATGCTCCCTCCCTCCAAAAGATCTAAACATTTTAAGTTTATGAGTCTGACAACTTCAATGGCATTCTTTACCCAGGCTATAAAATTCTAGCCCTGCCACCACAGAGCTGTTTTTTCTGAATTTCACAAACTTAGAGATAACACTGACTCTAGTTTTCTGGCCAACAACAGTAATGAAGCCCAGGATCTCGGTTTATATTTGAAGACTAACTTTACAACTGCAAAAAAGCTGTTGCCTGTGAAATCCAGGCCAGGGGGTGAGGGTAAAAGAAAGGCGCTTTCTTTGAGATTCCCTGATTTGGGAGAGCTAGAACTCTCTAATAATTTCGAAAATCTTGGATTTTCCTTCAAAGTTATGTTTTTAGAGCATGTTTATATCAAAATACCATGTCATAGCAATATCTATATAATAATAAAAATGTGCTGTCTATTCAAAAATAAACACTCTGAAAAAGTTAAGTAGCTATGATATAATTATTGACTAGTCGGCAAAAACAAAGGGGTTAGATCGACATGTCACCTTTGCACAAAGGAATCAACGCATAAACATAACTCATATAACTGAGTTTATCAGTAAGATGATAACCAAGATTTTCCCTATGTTTCAATTCAGTGTATGTGTCCACCCTCTTGGCTCTGATATAATACAAGCATTTACTAACCAAGGAACTTCATGTGCCATGGTAAAATTGGTTCAACCAAATATTCAGATCCTTTGCCAAGCATAGGAAAGCTATTGCTGTTCCAGCCAAATCTGGCAGCCTTCCACTTTTACAATCATATAATTTGACGAATGACATACCCCTAACCCGTCCTAATTTATTCAGCTGGGCTGGTTCTACTGTATCAGTATAAGTGTACAACCAAACAGAGAAATGTATTCCTAGAAGAGAGAAAGATATTATTTTGGCATAATTTTAATCAGTGACCTGAGGCGTGCCAAAGTTAAGTCAATAAAGGTTATTTATAAAGCATGAGGTACCACAGTACTGTTAGGAATAAATAGAACCCAGGACTTCAGTGCCTGACTTCAGCTAACAGTTCTTTCTCAACTGACATAATTCCTTCTGAAGTTCTAAAAAAGCAATACTGAGAAGAATATCATCAGCAAGACTATATTTTGCATTCTTTATTGAAAGAATATTTTAGAAATGAAATGTGATAATGATCAGATGTTTACTCCTACAAAGAAGAATGGAGTCATATCAACTTTTGCTTTCCTTGTCTGGTTGTAAACACTATGTCTGCAGAGCTGCAGAGAGTCCAAGGAAGGATATAGGCCAAAGTGCGTGGGAAGTGCAGAGAGAGCTTTAGGCTAGAAAGCACATTCACTCAGGGTAACGGCCATCTTTCTTTGGTACTTTACAGTTTACAAATTTTGTTTTAATTTGACCAATATCCAAATGCCTTCTTTGTGTTGGTGTTATCCCAGGAGCTCTGGTGTCAGCGGTGAACAAGATAATCAAAGTCTCATCCCTAACATCTTATTTAATCCTTGAAACAAACTTACGGGAGGTAGATGTTGTCCCCATGTCATAGTTAAAGAAAAGTGAAGTTTAGCATGATTCAGTGATTTTCCCAAGATTGCAGAGCTATCTTATTACTGGGAAATAAAAGATTATGAGCTATTCTTATTACTGAGAAAGTAATAAGAATCTGAAAGCTGATTATTTGACTCCCAGGCCAGCACTCTGTAAAATACATCTCTCCACTTCCGGGAGGTGCCCTCAAACCCTTTGTGGCCATTCTCAGAGCTTTTTCTGTTTAAACCACCTATTTTTCTGGAGAACAGCTCCAGCAATCAGCCAACTGACCTTTGAACAAAAGGTTGGGCAAAAGGAAGAAGGTTCAGAAACCGAAGACAAGGATTGGGTAGAAGGGGATGCTGTAAAGAAAGTGAGGTAAGACTCCCCTGCCTCAACCCTTCTCTCCTCCCCCATACCTGAATAAGGGGAAATTAAAGTTTGTCATTATTTTAAAGTAGCTGTTAATTCTGATATTAATGTGTTAACACTTATTTTTTAAATAGGTTTGGCATCCGTCAAATTCTGAAGTTACTCCTAGATTCAAAATCATTTACTATTCAGCCAAATATCAACCAATAACAAATCCCATACTGGTCATTAATCTTTAGGCCATGTTTCTTAACACCAGCTGAACATTAGAATCACCTGGAGAGTTTTTAAGCATTACCAATTCCCTAGAACCTCTACAGGCTAATTAAATCAGAAACTCTGAGGATGGAACCCTAGCTTGGAGAGTGTTTAAAAGCTCCCTGGGTGATTCTCCTGTGCATCAGAGGTTAATAACCCCTGCCTTACAGTTGTTCTCAAAGGGTAAACCTGGAGACCAGTAGCATCAGCATTATCTGGGAACTTGGTAGAGATGCAGATCTTCAGGCCCCATCCCAGATCTACTGAATCAAAATCTCTGGGGGTGGGGCCTAGCAAGCTTTATTTTAAGAAGCTGCCAGGTGATTCTGGTGTTTGTTCAAGTTTGAGAACCACTGCCTTACAATATTTTGTCAAAGAGCTATCCTCTACCTAAACACTGAAAACAGCTTCAAAGCCATTTTATTCTCTGAAATTAAAAAAGCTACTTGAGAAACATACTTTGCATTTGAAAAAATAAAAGCTACAGCAAATAAATCCAAACTAAAAGAAGGAGTGGGGGAAATTCACTTAATTCATTTTTTCTTCAGTTTCCCTTCATTTTTCATTGATTTTTTTCCCTTCTTTTCTATTGATCAAATGCTGGAGTTTTCAGAGTGCTGGCCTGATGTAAGTAAGTCCCCTTTCTCTTTAATTGTGTGAGACACGTGTGAGCACAGAAATATGAGTTACAGATTTACACGTATTAATCTTTGTGAGAGCAGCATTCTCCAAGTATCATGCAAGCCTCATGTGACCTTCTTGGGTGCCACAGGCAGGCATAAGTTGTTTACATTAGCAAATATGTTTCAACTAAAACACATGTTGGCAGTTAGCACTCTCTCAGCTCCTCATATAAGCCATTCTGTAGAGAGTGAGACTTCGTTAGAAGAGTTTGAATTTGAAAAGTGTCTTTTTAAAATTTATTTATTTAATATTTATTTATTTTATTTAATTTATGTATTTATTTTTTGAGACAGAGTCTTACTTTGTCACCCAGGTTGCAGTGCAGTGCTGCATTCTTGGTTCACTGCAACCTCTGCTTCCTGGGTTCAAGCCATTCTCCTACCTCAGCCTCCCAAGTAGCTGGGATTACAGGCACCCGCCACCACACCCGTTTAATTTTTATATTTTTAGTAGAGATGGGGTTTCACCATGTTGGCCAGGTTGGTCTCAAACTCCTGACCTCATGCGATCTGCCCGCCTCAGCCTCCCAAAGTGCTGGGATTACAGGCATGAGCCGCTGAGCCTGGCTAGACATAAAAGTGTCTTTCATATCTAACAAATGAAGAACTCAATACATTTGGATGTTAGATTTTCAAGTGTCCATGGAATATGAGGAGTTAACGTGACTGATCCAAAGCTGTCAAGTAAGATGTTTAGAGCTCTCTGAGCCACACTTTGAGTAGACATCTTAGTATAAACACTTGTGGGAAAGATGTACAGGAAATCTATTATTTAGAAGCCAACAGAAAGAGCCCCTCTTGCGGAATTGGGGACATCAACAGTCTGGATATGTGCAATTCTGAAGAGATGATGGATGTCATTAGAGTGACAAAGGCTGAGGACAAGCAAGTCATTTTCATAAGGCAGAACTGCTACTCAGCTTGTGGGGCCAACCTTTTGCTACAAAATGTAAATACTTCTATATTGACCAGTAAATAGCTGAATCTCTGAGCTCCCACAATGTGACCTCATTGAGCTAGCCACCTTGATGCTTCCCCGGGGTCTCCTTATGTCCCCACTCCTATTGTGTAGCTGCAGAAGTGATGCCAGGCAGGGCAGGGTGTTCCTGGGCCCTGCTGAAACAGTGCAGCTGGCATCTGTTCTGATGACCAGTGCCCAAGCCATATAGCTTTTTACGTGTTTGAGTAGCACCCCTATGTCCATAAGCCTCAAAAATGACCCAAAAAGGAAGAAAATAAATTTCAAGTGATGTAAGAAATTTTTAAGGTATTTAATGTCTCAGCTTCACACCAATCTATTTTTGTTCTACAATGAAATGCCCTTAAACATATACATTCTTAAAAGCGGAGGTAGTTTCCCTCCAACAAGGCCCCGTTCCTAATAGTAGCATGGGCATTGGCAGTGTTCACAGTGGCTATCATGGTCACAGTCATGGTCACACTTGTATTGACATTCCGCCCTCCTTGCTTCTCTCACAGCACATATCTCCTAACCAGAGTACCATGGATCACCAAACTGAAGAGGGTTTCTTCTCTCAGAGCAAGTATTGAAAAGAGCACGAAGGGGCTTGGGAAAAAATGCCTAAAAATTGCAAGCTTTATAGTTTGAATGTGAAAACTTGCATGATCTCTTTTTTTTTTTTTTCTGCCTTTATTTCAAAGCATTTATCTCTGCTATACTGAAAGCACAGTTTTCCCAATGCACATGTCCTGATCAGCTGTCGATGAGCTACGTTGCAGATTTGTAAGCCAGGAGTCTTTTTCTGATTAACCATCCTCACCCTTCTCTTTCAAGCCTATCTGGATAATCCAGAGAAAGGGGAAGCAGTGAGGAAGCACATGGTACTACGCAGTCAAGCAGAGTGTCAACTCCTTCTTGACAGTAGGGCCTGACTGTCTGAAGCAGGTTCAGCCACAGTCATATAGCCTCTGAAAAATTGCTTTCAAGCCCTCACCTCCCAAACCTGTTCAATCAGCTTTGCCTGTTGTCTAATCTACACCCACCAATTCTCTCCAGTTCTGTTTTCATTCTCTGCCAGCTCTCTAGGCTAGAGGCTTTACCAGTTCCTTTACTTCCTGTTCCACCCTTGACCCCTGTGTCCCATGGCTTCATACCCTACAGCCTCAGAACAATGGCTCCCACATATCCAGCCTCAGCTCCTGGAAGCCCACATGAGCAGCACCCCCAACACACAGCCCCAGCCCCCAAACTACTGCTTACTCGAAGGGAGAAAAGGGAGGGTGTCCAGGTTTTTTTCCACATCACTATGACATTTTCACAAGGGGAGTTGCTGACCTCAGGATCATTCACTCCTCTCCACCTTGTACTGCCATTTAATCAGCTACTTTTAAGCACCAGCTCTTTACAAGTTGACTTCTAAGAGCTTTGGAATCCATGCCTTACCAGAACTTAAATTATTAGCGGAATTACTGATGAGTCAGAATAAACACAAAAGAAAAAGGCATTTTAAGACCTCTGCCAAAAAAA
Source organism: Homo sapiens (assembly GCF_000001405.40). NCBI lineage: Eukaryota > Metazoa > Chordata > Mammalia > Primates > Hominidae > Homo > Homo sapiens. The sequence continues at coordinate 110,663,825 of NC_000004.12, read as the reverse complement.
AAAAAAAAAAAAAAAAGATTCAAGTAAATGTAAATATCTATCATTTTCAGCATGGAAAAAAAAGTTCCCTTTATATGCCTCTTTCTTATGTAGCTGCTAATAAAGAATTTCTATTCAATATAAGCCCCCGAAGCATGTGTCCTGTGAAAAGTTCAGCTTCCTTTTCTAGGTTATTCATTTTTTTTAATTCTAGACAATGACATTAGTTTAGAACCCAAGACTTTGCTTTAGTCCTCTCATCCAAATTCTGATGAAGTTTACTGTGTAAAGAGGATTAACTTTAACATTTAATTTAAACACTATAAGGATTATATTATCCATAAATGTCAGTAAATAAGTATTATCTTTATCATTTGGTATACAAGATGTAACACTCTTGTGCCCCCGCCCCCCTTGCTTTTTCAATAACAGTTTGCAAGCTTGGTTCAGGGTGGAGTTTTTAAGAAACTGGTGTGTGACCAGCAATATAGGTTAAAGGTCCATTTGGCTATTAAATTCCTTTATTTTTTCCCACTTAATCTAGGCTTATGTAAGTTCTGGTTTTTAGTGAATCAGCCCCATAGCAATACTGCTCAGACCTGTATTGCTTATCAAGCACTTCTATATCAATCCCTGCCAGTGAGAAAGAAACAAGAAATTAGATTTACCACGGCAGCAGGAAACTTCAATCTAGGAATCTCTGCTTATCAATTTGTTCTTTATCACAAATATTTTTTGATTCTTCCTAATTTTATTATCACATTCCCTGTTGTTATTATGACTCCATTAACAGATCTGGCTATAAATTCATTAAAACTAGAGCTCTTGACAAACTCACTATAAAATTCTTCACCTTAGACCATTATCCCAAATCTCACCTCTACTGGAATTACAAGGTTAATAAAGAGAATTAGATTTCCAACATCACCCAAAAGTCTTACTTTCCTTATCAGTTATTTCATTTTGCAATATCAATATCAGGATTTTACACCACTTATTAAATGCTTCCAGAACCTTCTTCAGTGACCTTACCTAGACATGTGTTTACAAAATAATATAAAGTATTAATGATGTTGCAAGGCAAAGCATTGGAATATGTAAAAATGAAAGAAGAGGGATGAAAATTAACCAGTGCTCCCTTGATTTCTAATGTTCCAAATCAGAGTTTTCACTTTGGAAAATAGCAAAACAAATAAAGATATGCTTCTTAATTAACTGTGTTTAAAATTGAACTAGATTTCAATAGGTTCCCCCTAAAGCATATTAATAATAATAATAGCTACCAGTAAATAAAGCATGATCAGCCACCTCTTCTCTGTTGCCTTTGAGCCTCTAAGCATCAGCTGCCTCCGGGACTCTTGGCGCTTTATTTTGCTCCAGCTGCTGCCTCTATGACCATCTCCACAGGAGCTCCTCCCAGCCACCTAGGCTCACTGTACCTCAACACCACCCAGAGCTCCTCACCCCTCATGCTCTGCACACCTCTTACCTCTCATCATGCAGAGTCCCTGCTGCCTGGAGTACAAAATGTTCAAGACTTCCTCCTCAACACACATGAGCAACTCCAAAGTGAAAGAGAGTTAATACCCATGCAACAAACATGGAGACTAGGAAACAGTAGATAAATTGTTTTCCTTGCCATCTCCATAAACTTCCCTAGGATGCAGCAATTCACATGCCCTTTCAGGAGACAGTGCCATGAGACTGTCTGTACACCAAGTAGATGCAGGCTTGGTAACACCTACTTATACTGGCTTCTTCCTTCGTCACCCTTTTTCCCTTACTCCTGTTTCCCTGGGATTGCATTCCTTTATCATGTCCTTTTATTTAAAACAGGTGTTACATAAGCTTTTGCCTCAGTCCATTTTCTGGGAGACCTTGTTACATTAATTAACTATTCCTGCATGGCAAACTACAAAATCTCAGTGGCATATGACCAGAAGGATTTAATTCTCACTTCCAAATTTGCCAGTCAGCTGGGGCAACTTTGCTTCACTCTGCAGTTGTTAAAATGGCTCTGCTCCTAGCTGTGGGTCTGACTGGGCTTAGCTCCTTGCTGCATGTTGTGCTATAGTCAACTCCACATGTATGCATTGATGTATTAATTATGGAGCTCAGACTGAAGGAGCAATACCTTCCAAGGGAAGTTCTTGTAGAAGTGGCATTGGTACAAGATGTCAGCACAATGGCAAAGCACCATTCAAGCCCCTGCTTGTGTCACATCAGCTAACATCCCATAGACAAAAGCAAGCCACATGCCTGAGTCCAGGTAAAGAGGAGGAGAGTGCATCTAGTGAGAAAATGCAAAGTCATATAGCAAAAGGCGTGGGTATAGGGAGGGATGTAGAAATTAAACTAATAATTCAATCTACCATACCTGGTTAAGATAAGTAAGCAATCTTGCAACATACTTAAACAGTCATCTCTAGTTTACAAATGAAAAAAATAACTGTCCCAAGAGATAAAGCAACTTTCCCAAAATCCCACTTATGACGGAGCCAGAATGCTAACACAAGTCAAGTCTATCAGACTCAAAAGCCTTGTTTATTGACAGATTGCAACTGGATGCCCACAGTGATCCAGGAAGCATGCAGTGTATTAAGGATACCAAGGCCTATTAAAAGTATCATTCTGTCCTCAAAGAGTATACTGGCTAGAGGCAAGAAATACAGGCAGACAAATGTAGTACAATAATTGCTATAATGGTAGTATGGGCAAGCTTGGTTGAGTGTGTGGAAGATGGGCAGGCAAGACCGAACTCTAGGGACAGTTAGAAGAGCCCTCACTTTTCACATTTTCCACCACAGCAAGCTGCTTGTTTCCAGCACAGCCTGTTTCCTACCTAACCAGGATATTTGTTCTTCAAGAGCATTAGTATAAATAGAGCTAAGAAATTCCTGCATGCCTGACTGTGTAGGAATGCCTTGGGCTTTATTTATGGAAAAGATAGAAATGTGGACATTCCTTCTCCAATTGAGATCAGTTTCTTGTATAAGTAACAAAAGATAAAGTAGACCTTCCTGACACTCTTTCTTACTGGGAAAACTGGCTAGACATACGCAGAAAACTGAAACTGGACCCCTTCCTTATGCCTTATACAAAAATTAACTCAAGATGGATTAAAGACTTAAATGTAAAACGCAAAACCATAAAAACTCTAGAAAAATACCTAGGCAATTCCATTCAGGGCATAGGCAGGGCAAAGACTTCATGACTAAAACACCGAAAGCAATTGCAACAAAAGCCAAAATTGACAAATGGGATCTAATTAAACTAAACAGCTTCTGCATGCAGAGCAAAAGAAACTAGCATCAGAGTGAACAGGCAACCTACAAAATGGGAGAAAATTTTGCAATCTACCCATCTGAAAAAGGTCTAATTTCCAGAATCTACAAGGAACTTAAACAAATTTACAACAAGAAAAAAAAAACCCATCAAAAAGTGAGCAAAGGATATGAACAGACACTTCTCAAAAGAAGACATTTATGCAGCCAACAAACATATGAAAAAAAGCTCATCATCACTGATCATTAGAGACATGCAAATCAAAACAGTGTATCACATTCTAAGAACAAGAGGAAGCCATTTAGTATTTAGAAGTCTAGAGAGGAGGTGAGAAAGAGTGACAAGAACCAATTTATCCCAATCAACATGGGAATGAATGCTCCTCCTAAACCCCGCAAGAGATATATTGAGAGTAAAATGCTCACCAACTAGTGAATCTCCCACTGGTGGAATAATTTAATAAAATTTGTATGAAAATGAAGCATATATTTGTAAATCACGCACACAAAATGCACTGTCACCTGACTAAGGCCCATTCATACTAGTGGTAAATCAGTTTGATACACTTATAAAAGTAAGTCAATACCCAGTGTGTTATTTTAATAACTGATTTTAATACAGTGCCATTCTGCAAAATTGATAAATGGTGTTTGTAATAGCTTATTTATTGCCAAAGCTAAGTGCTGTTTTTTGTTACTATGTAAGCTAAGTTCCTTCTGAAAAGAATGAAATACTCATCTATTTGCCCAGGAAAGATGGTATTATTTTAAGCAAAAACCATTAATTTGATTTTCATTGATGAACTTTAGCCAGTTGATAAATCTTCAAAGGGAAACTTATACCTATATATGAGCACAGTTGGATTTCTGATATGTTAATAAGATTGCTCCCATGAAGACTCTCAGCAAGATACATAAACTCTGGGAGAAAATGCCTCTTTTTCTAGATGACATATTAATGGTTTTAATGACTTCTTCCAAGCCTGGCATAAACATAGTGCCCAAGAAGAAATTATTGGGTCTGTGTTTAAATTATCATTTTATAACTTAGATAAATCTCCTATTTATTTTTTAAAGTGTTATCCTTTGTGTTAATTTCCTCAGGCTGTCATAACAAATACCACTAACTTGGTGGCTTAAAACCACAGAAATTTATTATCTCAGTGTTCAGAAGTCCAAAGTCACCATATCCATAGGCTCTAGAATAGCATGTGTGAATGTGCTAAGACAAAGAGTCTAGCTTCTTCAGGGAACTGAGAAAAGGCACCTGAGGCTCAGGCAATGTGTGTTGGTGAGGAAGGGGTATCATGAGGCAAGACATGGAGGATTCTTCCTTGCCCCTTCCAGCTTCTGGTGGCTCCTGGCATCCCTTGGCTTGTGGCAGCATCATTCCAATCTCTGCTTCTGTCTTCACATGGCCTCCTCCCCTGTGTCTCTGTGTCTCAAGTCTCCTTCTCCTTTCTCTTATAAGTACCCATTATTTGGCCCATCCTGCTCAGACAGACTTTTTCCTCAAACATTTTACCTCAAACTGCGGCAAAAAAAAAAAAACAAAAACAAAAACAAAAAAAACACTGTTGAATGACAACAACTTAAGTCCCATGTAGGCAGTGATCAATGGTCATCCAAACTAAGCTGAGAGAAAGGAAGGAATGCTCCCTAAGTGAAGACGAAAGCAAGGAATGCTTCTGGAGTTCCTGTAGTGGTAACAGTCAAAGTCCATCACAGACCACAATATTGACTACAGAGGTAGCTTAATGTAATATAAAGGGGGTCGGGGAGAAAACCCAGCTCTAGGAAATAGATCTTATACAGATAAGACCAGGAAACAAGCCCCAATATGCCAGCTAGAGTAGCAGGCTGTCTCCCAATTCCTCACTGGAGATAGAAAGCTAAGACAAAGAAATTCAGAAACAAAAAAGACTGCATACAGGTAGATTGTCAGATGGCTTTAACAAGAGTGGATTCAGAAAACCCTTGTCACAGACTGCTGACCACAACCACAGAATCCAGTACCCTTCAGGATTGCACCTAAAAAGCAAGGGAGCTGATGACAATTGCCAAAGAGTAAGTGGGGAAAATACATCTTAATACCTTGATAGGTGAAGTTCCAGCACAACCCACTGGTGACAGCCATCCACAAAGAGCAAAACCAAGTTTCAGTGAGGTAAGAACTGACCACTGCTTTCTAAAATACATGTATATTTGTACTTAAAGTACCATGTTAATTTCTTTATTGATCCACATCTGAGGGCTCTTGTATAAATCCTAAAAACAAGATTGTTTTTATGGTAGAACCCACAGCTAAACCATTTTAGGCCTTCAATTGTTCTGTTCCTGGTTATACTTCTACTCTTATCAATGAAACTGTTCTTTATTAAACCCTTGAGTTTATTTAAAGAGACAATCCTCTTATTCTGAATCACTGTTAAAATGAACAAATCCAAATCTCTCATTAATAAACTTATGAAGGGAAATCTTCTGAGTTCAGGCAGATGGAAGAATGTCTGTGTTTCCAAAATGGTAGAGAATGATTTTTTCAATGTTACAATTAGAGTTCAGATTCATAGAACCCAGAATACTAAAAAAAACTAGCTGAAGTATTAGTCCCACCACTACCAAAAGTGTAGAAACAATTGTGTGATAAGAGATAGAGAATTTTCAGCCAAGCGCAGTGGCACATGCCTGTATCCCCAGCTACTCAGGACACTGAGGTGAGAGGATAGTTTGAGGCCAGCCTGGGCAATATAGCAAGACTCTATATAAAAGAAAAAAATAGATAGAGTACTTTCATCTGTTATTGGATCACACACTAGTCATCTGACCAGTTATAGCTGTCAGAGATTATATTATCTCTCTCAGAGCATCTTTTCTTTTTACATCTATAATAAGGAGATCAAATTCCCCAAAAAACACCATAGAATTAGTATAAAAACCAACAAAGGAGACAAATGTAAAGGCACGTTGTACAGTATAAAGTAATACATCAATGCAAGACATTAGTATTCCTACAACTTTGAGCACTTCTTTCCTCTAGGAGTATTTTTCTCATTCTCACTCACCACAGGACCAAAGTAATTGCCAGGGTGGTGGAAGGATTTTGTTTTATGTTCATTGTTATATAGTTCATGTTCTCATTTCATCTTTCAGGTTTTTATCTTGATTCTTTGATTTGTTTGCTGAATTTTCATTTTGCTTGCTCAGGAATAAAAATCTTCTGTTTGTGATCCCTTCACTGCACAATTTTACTCATTCCACAGCATGGAATTGTTGGTGTATCCTTAAAGGCTTCTTTCAGGAGAGCACGTGGGCTTGAAGAAAGAATGACTGCAGATGTTCTTTTGGTGCTGATTGACTTAAGAAGTGTGACGGGAAAGTAAGATAGTTCTCACTAACTTGGTGTCTTGGAGGTAGAAGGGAACACAGATCTTCAGCATTGCACTCCGCCTTAAACACAGGGAATCATTTGATGCACCTGCTTAGACACAGACTTTTCCCTCAAACAAGATTCTTTCCACCCTGGCTGAAGTTCTCCCTGACAATAATAATTATGTTGGTGTTTTTGAGGGACCCCAATGTGAGCACTAAGCCAATAAGAAGTAAGACAAAAGAGTCAGTGAATAAACAAAAATATTATGTTACTAATCCAGACTAGATAGAAGAACTTTGCTTACTGTAAGAAACATGTGCTTGCTCATTCTCAGTCTCAGTCTACTAGACTCAGAACAGCCCACCTGAGGGAAACTTTGAGACCACAAAGCAGACACACTTACTCAAGTCACTGTCTCCTGCTGCTCTGAGTGGAGAGTGAAAGAAAAAAAAAAGGAGATACCAAATCTCCCCACACTCAGTAATTTTAATGAATAGACCTCTACAAGCAAAGAAATTGGAATAATGGCTGTCACTAGCCAAGCAGGTCACCAGGAGGAAGAGTAAGGAATGAGTCAAAAAACTGAGTGTACATAGGGATCATCCCTTCTCACAGAAATAGGGAATCAGGTGTTTCTCCTTGATAAAGAATAATAGCTAACATTTATTGAGTTCTCACTATGTGCCAGGCACTGCTATAAAGCATTATCTGGATTAACTCATATAATACAACCAGCGTATGTGGTGAGTACTATTTCATTTTTAAAATTTTTAATTTTTATTTTAAGTTCCAGGGTACATGTAAAGGATGTGCAGGTTTGTTACATAAACATGTGCCATAGTGGTCTGCTGCACCTATCAACCCATCACCTAGGTATTAAGACCAGCATGCATTAGCTATTTTTCCTAACGCTCTCCCTCCTCGACCCCAAACCTCGACATGCCTTAGTGTGTGTTGTTCCCTCCCTATGTTCATGTGTTCTCATTAGCACTATTTCATTTTACAGATGAGGAAACTTGAGGCACATAAAGGGTAAGTCATTGAAAGAAAAGAAAATCATAACTAAGTAAAAAGCTCACTGAGGAGCAAGCAATATCATATCACTCGTAGAACTTTCTGAGGAACTCCAGCCTAAATGGAAGAATTTCTTTTCTTCTACATTCAGGTTTCTGCTCCCAATACATCTAGGGCTATAAGAAAATACCTACAACCAGTGCTTTTCATAATCTGGGCTGATCTTTATGGGGTATGGCAGGAAGGACAGGAGGAATATTCCTCTCTCTCCAAAATGTCTCTCCCTTAGGCTGGTGTGGAACCTGCACAAGATCCCCACTGACTTCTCTCCTCCTTTAGTTAATTCACACAAAGTGGGCTGTAGAAGATAAATGGAAGTAACACACGGTAACAGTGAATTACAATCAGCCTTTATCTCCTTGCAACATATTAATTTGGAGGTGAGGGTTTGCACTAGGAATAGAGCCTTGGGGAAATGAGACAGAGGCTACAGAAGGTTAGAAGAGAAGGAGGAGAGTTCTCAGGGCGTGTGGCTTGGCGAGAAGGGCTCACAGACATCCAGGAAGCAGTAGTGAGAGGGCGCCAAGGACTGAAGGAGTGTGAGCATCAAACAGGGAATGGTCTGTCCTTCCCTCCTTCACTTTATTTGATGAGATGTCCCCAGGTCTTTCTTTGGGGGACTTTTTCTGTTATTTGCAGAAAGGTCACTATTCTCAGTCTCCATCGCAATAAAAACGTTCATCTGTTCCTGAAGCTCTTCAACTGTCCACCCCCACCCCAGCAGACACTTACTCCTCCTTAGACTCTGTGAAGTCAGAAGTGGTTAAAACAACATCAGTCCTAGCTCTCTGTTCCCCCATGCATTACTTTCCTGTGTCTGTTGTAACAAATTACTACAGAATGGGTGGCTTAAAACAATAGAATTTGATTCTCTCACAATTTTAGAGGACAGATGTCAGAAATGAAAGTGTTGGCAGGGCTGCACTCTCTCTGGATGCAATCTGGATCTCTCAGGGATCCTCAAACCCCCGGCCATGGACCTGTACCAGTCTGTGGCCTGTTAGGAACCAGATCACACAGCAGGAGGTGAGCAACGGGCCAGTGAGCATTATCACCTGACCTCTGCCTCCTGTCAGATCAGTGGCGGCGGCATCGGCGGCATTACATTCTCATCAGAGCAGGAACCCTACTGTGAACTGTGCATGCGAGGGGTCTAGGTTGCGCACTCCTTATGAGAATCTAATGCCTGATGATCTGAAGTAGAACAGTTTCATCCAGAAACCATCCCCCTCCCCAATCTGTCCATGGAAAAAATTGTCTTCTCATTTCAAACTATGAATTTAATTATGTCTACAAAGATCCTTTTTCCAAATAAATTAATATTCACAGGTTCCAGAGAGTAGGATGTGGACATATTTTTTTTTTGGTACCAACATTCAACCCACTATACCCCACCAAAAAAAAAGTGAGAAAAATGGAAAACTATACTGCATTAGCACAGTATATTAGAATCCCACGTCCCTCCCTCATCAAGCAAAATACTAACATGAGACATTGTAGAGATACCCTGAGGAGAAGGTCAGAAAAAAGCACTGGGTCCCAGTCCCAACCATGTTGCCAACCAAGCATGTGACCATGGATGATTCATTTATCCTTTCAGGGCTTCAGTTCTCTTATCTGTAAATGAGGGATTGCTCAGATGCTCTCTGAGTACCCTTCCAACTTCAGCATCTTATGATTCTACAGAAAATTCCAAGCATATTTTAAAGCCCAGCATGCACACAGAAAACAGACAAAAGTAATGTTATCACAGCTAGTCTTTCATTTGGCAAACACTGTTGAATGCCTTCTTTTTCCCCATAAAAGAAGTCCTCATTACATCAATAAATAAGCCATTGCATTAACTAAAGCAATGATCTCCAGAATCTTTCAGTGATGCTAAAATCAACGAACCCCTCAAAAAATTAAACTGATTTTTGCAAAGTCTATTCTAGCAAAAAAGAAAAAAAAGGAGGAGGGAAAGAAGAAAAAAACCCAGCATAACTAATCTAAAGCAGAGCTGCCTGGTGGCGGTTCATAACTGCTTGACACACACCCGATTTTGTACTGTGCTAGGGGGACGTTGTGGTGAAAAGTATGGCTTCTGGATTTAATTCCACCTGAAATCAGTTCTAACTCTATGAGATCTTGAACAAGTCCCTTAACTTTCCAGAACCTGTGTGCTCACGTGGAAAGGGGAAAACTGTAACAATGTAAATTCCAGGGAGAAATGGTGAGGAACCAACTTGAAAAGGTATGGAAAGCATTTAGTAGCAGCTGCCTGGCATAGGTTGTTTCCTTCTCTTTGCCCTGCCCAGGTGAAAGTAAGCACATCTGACCTTAAACAAAGTTGTAAAGTGTTTGAAGTTCACTTTTCACCTGCTTTCCTGTACTTTTCTTTTCACTCTTGATGGCAACTCTTCCAGGCAAAGAACTTGTCATTTATACTTGTTCATTGACTAAGCCCCCTTCCAATTATTTTGTCTCTAATTGTAGAATGTAGGTCAAAGTATGTTTGAATATGGCCAAAGAGATGAAGGGAGATTAGGAGGTGAGATTAGAGATGCTGATTCTGAAGTCTCTTGAAATGAAACTAGGCCCCATCAGCTGACTCAGACAGGGAATCTGGTTCAAACATTTTAGAAATACAGCCAAGGACTGAATCCAAGAGGAGATAGACTCTGGTTTCTTACCTAAGCCAGACCAAAATCTAGGATCTCACTCAAATTTGCTGCTAGAGGTGATTTAAAGTAATGATGGGAAGATGCATAGTCTTAAAATGAAGAAGCCGATCCATTGTCACATTCACTCAAGTTTACATATTGTGACCACTTCTATTGCTCCAAGATATCAAGATGCATAATAAATGTTTTCTGAAATAAAACCGTGTTTTATTAGTATTTGGTGATTTTTTTTCTTGCCTAGCCCTTTCCTGTAGCTGTTATACAAGAAAACACACTCTATGCTTCCTAACTATAATTATGAAATTTCCAGCAAGAGCATGTGCTAGAATTACACTCTTCATTAACAGAGGCAGTTAAAAGTGAGTGTGAAGGTTTGGGCTCTAAAGTCTGACAGGCCTAGATCTGCATTCCAGATGGTGACGATTTGCTCACTCTCTGCTTTTGTGATATCTTGGGAAAGTTACTGTCCCTCTTTAAGCCATAGTTTTCTCATCTACAAAATGGGAACAATAATAGTAAGTTGCTATGCAATTTGCATACTCATATATGCATATCAGTATAATATAATCATTATGAGTGCACTATGATTATCATCCAAAACATATACATATAAATAAAACTTTATTGCTTCAGTCTTGGGAATGGGAGAAGCATTAGTCTGAATAAATAAAATACTTAACTGCAAAATAATTTTCAAGAAAAGAACATAAAAGAGTGCCACGTTCACTATTGCCTGGTGAAGAGCCTGCTTGTGTGATAAACCAATAGATAAGACATATTTGTGAGCCCATGTAAGGGATCAATGATGGGCAATTTGACTTCAGGGAAGCATTTAAAAAAAAGAAAGAAAGAACTGAACCAAGCTGCCCACAGGTCAGTCCAATTGTTATTATATCACAACTGCCAGATAGGCCAATTTTAGGTTCTGATTATTTTCATCACAAGGTCAATTGGTCAATTTGATCCATTTATTTTTCCATTCAACAAATAGCGGCCAGGCGCGGTGGCTCATGCCTGTAATCCCAGCACTTTGGGAAGCTGAGGTGGGCCAATCACCTGAGGTCAAGAGTTCGAGATCAGCCTGGCCAATGTGGTGAAACTCCGTCTCTACTAAAAATACAAAAATTTGCCAGGCGTGGTGGTGCACACTTGGAATCCCAGCTACTTGGGAGGCTGGGGCAGGAGAATAGCTTGAACACGGGAAGCAGAGTTTGCAGTGAGCCTAGATTGTGCCATTGCATTCCAACCTAGGCGACAAGAGCGAAACTCCTTCTTAAAACAAACAAACAAAAAAAAACCCCAAAAAACAAATAGCAATTATTAATATCAAGGGACTGTGATAGGAACACAAAGATAATTAATACTTAGCCCATGGCCTATAAAGCTACATATATGTTCTGTGCACACACAAGAATACCTAAAGCTTGCGTATACGTAAGTAGTCAGATAATCATGTAGAAATTTTGCTAGTTTTGTGTTCTCCATATTTATAAGAAAAATAATTACATTCATTCCTTAATTCTCAAGATTATTGGCTGGTGGAGGTCCCACGAGAGCTGCTAGACCCAGCATGGTAGACAGAAGACGCTGGTGCTGCTGAAGCCCAGCGGGAAAAACCAATGCTGCTGGCCTGGTCCCTAGAGAAGGAGTTTAGGTTATCATTCCCACCACCACCAGTTCACATCCAGCCCTGGTTTCCGGTGTGACTCTTTGGTGGAGGCACGGTGGGTGAACATGATCTTTAACCAGGTCCAGTCATAATTTTTGCAAGTGGAGTTGTTGAGCCAGGCCTTGCGGGCTGTGGACCCACTCGGCTTTGGGAACGCAGAAATCACCATCTTGGGATGGTGGTATCTACAGAATCGAGGGAGAACATGCACCTCAGCTTGGCATTGTGGCACCGAGACCGTCGTGCCTGAGGTCAGAAGATGAAACTGATTTGATGAGTTCTTGAGGTCCCATGTATCACGTCCCACGCTTTCCCACATACTATTGCTTATGACAGCCTACGTTACTGTCAGGAGCACTGCAGGACCAGTCCTGCTCCTGCTGCTAAAATTCAAGAGGGGCAAGTATCCTTCCATCTCTGTATTCCTAGTTCCTGTGTCTTGATAGCAGTTTATTTTGATGTAAGCATAAGTTTGTAGTACTATTTTAATAGAGAAACGAATTTCCTTGTTTTACGTCCAATGGCATAAATATCTTTGCTCACATAAAATAAAGCAAATGTAAAGAAAAAAGGAATATTGGTAATATTAAAGAATTTGAGTAAAGTATTTAAAAGTTTCACTAACTGCATATGAAAGTATGTGGATAACTTAGATACTTTTATTTTGGTTGCACTGATACTATTTTAAAAAAATTAAAAACATAGGCAACTGACTAGAAATTTCAACTAATTCAAGTGAGCTCCCAGAGTTCTCAGTCAGATGTATTTATTTCTCTCTAGCTGCTTATCTACATATTTGTCACTTTCCTATTAACTGGAGCAGCACAGGTAGTTAAAGTAGACAACACTGGCTGGGCGCGGTGGCTCACGCCTGTAATCCTAACACTTTGGGAGGCTGAGGCGGGCGGATCACGAGGTCAGGAGATTGAGACCATCCTGGCTAACACGGTGAAACCCCGTCTCTGCTAAAAATATAGAAAATTTTCCAGCCGTGGTGGCGGGCGCCTGTAGTCCCAGCTACTTGGGAGGCTGAGGCAGGAGAATGGCGTGAACCCGGGAGGCGGAGCTTGCAGTGAGCCAAGATGGCGCCACTGCACTCCAGCCTGGGCTACAGAGAGAGACTCCGTCTCAAAAAAAAAAAAAAAGTTGACAACACTTAGGAGCCTGACCCAAGTTGCTATGTGTATACAGTACTTGGGAGAACATAAAATTGTCTTTTAAAATATTATTTAATTTTGACCTTCACTAATGCTCCATTTTATTACTCTGCATGGTGTTTTGGTTTTGGTTTTGGTTTTTACAAGATAAACGACTTAACAAGCTGTAGGCCTATCACTCAAGGGTGCTGTCTTCATTATGAGAGTACAACTGTTAATAGTTTTAGTTTCTTTTAATATAAATAAACTACGAAAGCAAGTAGCAAAGAATACTGTCTATAACCTAGAACAGTTAAGGTTCATAGGGAGCTTTATGTTCATAAGGAGAAATAACATTTTTCACAAATTTTAAATTTGTTTTTTGGTTTGTTGTTGTTGTTGTTGTTTTGTTTTTTGAGACAGGGTCTCACTCTGTCGCCCAGGCTGGGGTGCAATGGCGATTCTTGTGTCTCAGCCTCCCTGAATAGCTGGAACTACAGGCATGTGCCACTAGGCCCGGCTAATTTTTTTGTATTTTTAGTAGAGACAGGGTTTTGCCATATTGGCCAAGCTGATCTCGAACTGCCGGCCTCAAGCTGGTCTGCCTGCCTCTGCCTCCCAAAGTGCTGGGATTACAGGTATGAGCCACTGCACCTGGCATAAATTTGCTGTATTTTTAATACAGAATAATTAGCCAGCCCTTTTGACACAGAATATAAGAATGAATGAAAAGAGTTGGGGGATTTTTTAACTTCCTCAGGCCAAAACAATCCAGTGGTTAGAATTGACACATTATATGTCATCTAAAAATATTCCAGCCTATCATTTTATACTTGGAAGACCATGTCACTTATTTTTTTTAATTGGCCTGAGACAAGGAGGTTTTCATTAACTCTCAACATTATTCCAGAGAAGAGTCAGCTTCCGATAAAGCCATACACTTTTTTAATTATGTATAACTACGCCAAGATGTTCTTGGGGAGGAAAAATAAAAAGCTCCCTCATAACCCTTACTAAGAATCTTACCATAGGGACTTTACTCTTATTTAAATTAAGAGTCAATCCTTTATTAAATATATTCTAACTAGCTATTACTATTATAGGAAAATCACCTCTATGAATGAAGAGATTAGGGATAGGAGAGGCAGGGAATGTCTGAACTGGATTGCTTGGTTTTTTATAATTCACCAACACTTTTCAGAGAACGCTTTCTAAAAATATAAAATATTGTTTTCACATTTTAAGCATTATCCTATACTGAGTGAAGTGTGCAGTTAAATTTTGGGCTAAATCTTAAATAAGGGCTACATGAACTCACTAGGGAATGAGACAACATCTTTGATAAATAAATTGGGGACATTTAAAGAATTCATATGAGTTGTCTAAATGAGTCAGAGGGTTTCCCATCTTGATTATTATTTATCCTATTCTTTATTTGTTTTTGTTATCAAAATTATAAGCAGATAGAACTTAGAGGAAATGTTGATATATAATGTATGTATATATGTGCATAAATATTTATGCACACATTTATACAGGGTGGTTTATTTAAAATCGCAATGCTTCAAATGAACCTCCTATTTTGAATTTTTTAAGCATTTTTTCATTTCTCTACATAGAGAATACAGGGTTAGGCACAGAGAATATATTCCCAATTATGTTACTATTTTAAACTGTCTTTTAAAATGAAAACTTTAATAAAACAAAACGCCACATATAGTTTAATCATTTTACTTCTAAGTAGGATAGAGAGATCAGATTTAGCTTTCTTAAATGTTTCATGACAGCTTATTTGTATTTTTTTATAGCTGTGAACTCAAATATAAAGGAAAAATCCTGGTAAGAATAACAACCTCAGAAAAAAAATCCATTGTTCAAAATAACAGCGAAAACCACAGTCAATGACTTCAAAAACAGTGAGGTATTTTTCAGCTCCATAGTAATGTTTATTAACTAAAACCTAACACTGGTAAAGAATATGTGGCTATTATATCACAGTCCCCTTGGTCATCAGTTGCTTTGAAGATCTGGGTTTATATCAATTTCACAATTTTCAGGTATCTGCTTATAACCTAAGGTAGGAAATCAGAAATGATAAATCAATTAAAATCAGTGAATATGATCCAGATCAGTATTTCATTCTATTTTAGAATTAATTTTTTATTTCACATAAAAATGTTGATTTTTATTTACTCCCCACTCAACTCTACTCTTTATCTTTCACTATCCATAGGCCATAGCCAGACAGGCATAGGCCAATGAGCTAGTAATAAATAGAACACAGATGTTGGTTCCCATGGGGCAGCAAGTAGTCTGGTACATGGTAACAGAGGGGAACCTGGAGGGTTATCATGCTTCTACCCCAGCCTCCCAACTCAAGCTCCTCTGTCCTGGCAGACTCCTCATTCCACATGGACTGCGTGATCACTAAACTTGGCACTTCAGGGGGCATATCTTTTTTGAGTAACTCTCATAAACATGCCTGCCTGCAGGACATCCAGATTTTCTGGTTTGGTAGTAAAGCAACATAAGAATAATCTTGAACCTGATGTTCATCCTTGCCTTCTTTCTAATTCCAGGAGCCCTCTGAGGTCTGGACTAACTCACTGATTAGGAAATAGTATTTGGAAAGGCTAAACAAAATACTATTTCCAGGGAAATAGTATTTGGAAAGGCTAAACAAAATATACTTTCTTAGTTTTCTCAAACCTCTCAGAAGATATATTTTTTAAAAAATAAACTAAGCTAGCAACATTTAAACTAAATCTTTGCCTTGCTTACAATACAAAAGATGATAAAAAAATTGTTGGGAAGGTGAGAAATTAACTTCACCTATAATTAGAAGTAAAGTTTTCATTTAAAAATGTAATACCACTTAAATTCAATTTGGGAAACAAAAAGGACTCAAAAAACAGTCTGCTAAAGCCAATTTGCAAACAAGTGCGCTCTCTTTTTCTTTAAGTTGTATCTCAGGTTCAGAGCACATGTGCAGGTTTGTTATGTAGGTAAACCTGTCACAGGGATTTGTTGTACAGATTATTTTGTCACCCAGGTACTAAGCCTCGTACCCAATAGTTATTTTTTCTGATCCTCTCCCCTCTCCCATCCGCCACCTTCCAATAGGCCCCAGTGTCTGTTGTTCCTCTCTTTGTATCTATGAGTTCTCCTCATTTAGCTCCCACTTATAAGTGAGAACATGCGTTATTTGGTTTTCTGGTCCTGATTTAGTTTGCTAAGGATAATGGCCTCCAGCTCCATCCATATTTCTGCAAAAGGCATGATCTCATTCTTTTTTTAACTATTCCACTCTCTCTATTACTCTTTCTTCTTCCCCCAATCCTGAACCCTACCATGTCAGTTTAACCACTCCTTTTCTTTCCTTTTTCTTTGCTCATTTGCACATAGTTAAAAGATGCCATGAATTTTTCTTTTTAATTCAGCATATGCCCATTAAAGATCTAAAAATATTATTTACATCATCCAGAACTCAGCTTAAGAAATTACCAAAAAATAAAGCTACCAGAAAGTAACTGAATCATCTTGTTGAGCCACAATCCTAGACCTCGACTCTGCTTTTTCCTCATTTTAGGCAGGTCATTCCTTTTCCTTTCTTAAATTGTTTTCTCTGTATTCAATAACACATTCTTGTGGATTCAGAAAGGGTGGAGTATGAGGAAAAGGAATATGATATATGTACCCTAGAGGAAAACAATAAATAAATATTTCAGGATGGAAAACATTATTTTTATTTTTATTGAGTTTTCTAGAGTCTATTTGATTTGTGTAAATCAGAAACCAGTAGAATGACATTAATGAATTAATGAAAAGCAGAATGAGTTATCAGTTGTAACAAAAAGAATAAAGAATTTCAAGAACACAGCTTTAATCATGCATGGCTGCGGGGAGAGAAAAATAACAAAATGCTCTCAGTGAATACATCTCTGAGAGAAGAAAGGAAATACTTAAGGAGAGGATAAAAAGAGCAAATATCAAAAATAGGAGTAAGAACCCTATTGCTTTTTTTAGTTGACAAATAAAAATTGTATATATTTACTGTGGACAACATGATATTTTGAGGATTACGATCACTTTTGATTCATAAATTACATTCAAGAAAAAGAAATTCTCAAAAAGTTTGGGAACATATGAAGTTGAAAGAACATTAATACTCAGATAAGGACAGTACATGACAAATTATTCTTGCTCCAACATTTTCTCTCAGGAAATTTAAACATCTTTCAGTGAAGCACCAGTTTCTTGAAATCAAGCATGAGAAAAAAAACTAAATTCACCTGTGGAAAAAAAGACACAGCTAAACAAAAAAGCGGTTGTTATAACCTCAAGAGTGGCATGAACAAAATGATCAACATTCTCCCAAGTGACAGCACAAATATCAAAAGTCCTAATAAGTGGAAGTGGTCCTGTCATGACAAAAGGTGTGGTATTTGTACAATTTCCAGATAAGAACAAAGTCATGACGCTAAGACAGTAGCAGCACTGTTTGTTACACGTGATATTTGAAAAATATGACAACCATCTCAATCTGCTCAAGTAGCACTCATGGTGAGGGTGAAATTTTATCAACATTGGTTAACTTATGGTGTTTTAAAAAACTAGCAAGGAGATAAATTGATGGATTAAAAGATAAACTACTCACAGGCAGACAAACAGAAGGACAGATAGAGTTACAATCAAACATGTACTTTACTCAGGCAGAAAGATAATAACCAGCCCCCAAGAAGTGATGTGTCTGCTAGAAAAGCCCTGAACATAGAATTTCCTGACTTTGTTTTTAATTTAGTTCTTTCAGGCATCACGCTGCATAACCAGGTGTAACTCTCTAAAAGTCTCTATGACAGAATTTTCCATCTGTTAAATTAGGCTAATAATATTTTCATCTTTTTTTAGGGTAAAGATGTGAAATATTTGGAGAACTCTGGAAAACATGCCCCCTACTAATTAGAGCTTTTTGATGTGACATCATTTTCTTCAGTACTTGGAGTTTAGTCAATAGATATACAGTGTAGCTGTGAAATTATGAAGCATGAGAATGCATTACCAAGGGACCGTAGGAGGCTCTTTACTGAAAAGTGTAGCTGGCTATATTTCTGGAAGTAATTTAAACATAGGCTGAGGGAGAGGAGTACCCTCTAGATCCTTTCCAGACCTTACTTTCTATGAATTCTAATTTCTCTTTCCCATTTAGAAAAAACAATGAGATCCACAGCGTAGAGATAGAAAATAAGGCTCTGTGTGCCCTCAAACCTTACTTTCAAAAATACCACAGCATTCTGGACGAGATAGTCTTGAATTCTTGCAACAGCACAGGTATGAGAGTTTTTACCAGAAAACAGGAGACTGGATTGATTCTTTCATTCTCCTCCTATGCTTCCTAAAACTGAAAAGCCATATATACAAATTATATTTATCTATCCCTCCTGGAAAAGGCCAAAATGAATCCAATTTTGGATCATTTTCAATAATGGGACAAACCTGAATTGAGAATAACCTTTAGAATCAGTCCTGTCTTTTTGTGATAAAATGGACTTGTAGAAAGCTACCTGGTGTTCTCCCCTAGCTAACATTCTACCACAAACAACGGGTATGTAATCCAGTATTGCTCCCCACAGGCTATGTCCTTGGAATCACTATCTTTGCACTCCATTTGTCTGCTGACATCCTTCCACCCAAGATGTCTTCTTCAGCACAAGAAGTCATTTCTCTTAAAATTTCAAATGACTTTACTACAATAATAGAGTTGCTAACTAGACCTAGGCAAGTAATGATAATAAAAATCTGATTTCTACTTAGAGTGTAGCATGGTTTAACACAACAACCAGAGTCCTAACAGGTTTTTCTAGATTTCACTCCTACTCAACTTGCATGTTCTTGCAATATAGATGTTCTTATTACTCGGTCCTTACTTCCATCTCTCTTTGCTTCTGGAATAAAACTACTTAAACCCAATTCAGAGATTTTATTCTCCCTTGGAATTACTGGGAAACAGTTCTAGTAAACCATATTCCTGAGATCCTATATTAGGCTTAGTCCAAACTGACCATCTAAGCATTAATTTTCCTGTGGCTCAGGAATATCCCTGAGCTTACCTTTCTCTTCCTAAACTGCCCAGGACAAATACCGGAGTTTGGCTTTTCTGCTTTCTCATCCAATCATTTCTCGTTTCCTCCTCTTTAGCATTTAAAACATTTCTGACTTTCTCCATCCCTCAAGAAATATATTTGCTTTCCTGTCTCTGCATTATTCTTTTGTTTATGAAATATTCCATAGGTAAGTTCTATATTTCCTTCCCCCAGAGGCCCCTGGTCTTCTGGTTCCAGTTGCCATTGGTTCAGTGTACTAGTTAACATTTTGGACTTTGGAGTTACACAAACCTAGATTCAAATTCCCACTATGCCACTTACTGCCTACGTGACCTGAAGCAATATCCTATCCACTGTGGCCTCCAGCAGTTATAAGCTTGTGCTCTAACCAGCTGGGTGACCTTGGGCCAGTGACACAATCATGGCAAACCTCACTGTCTTCATTTGTAAAATGACAGTACCTACCTTGTAGTGTTGGCATAAGGAATAAGTGTGATTGTCAATACAAAAGTGTTTAGTACAATAGCTAAATTAACTAAGCACTCTGTAAATATTAGTTTTTACCATTATTACTAATTCAAATGACTAGATGCATTTTGTGTATACCAGGTTTCCTGAGTTCACTTTGTTCTCAACAAATACTATTATTCCTAGCATGTGGCCTATATCACACTTCATTAGCCAGAGGACATGTGAAGCTTAGAGTGGAAAGCTAGGGCAGCAGGAAGCATTGCCACACTTTACACAGTCAAAGCCATTTAAACATGTCTGAATTTGAGCTCTGCTGAGTCCTTACTTGCCCCCATCTCTCCTGTGTGCTCCAGCTTACTAATAAAGCAGGTTTAATATAAATACACTAAAAGCCTAAACATTGAGATCATGATAATGAATATGAGGGCTATGACTATAAAATATCATTGAACCAGAGACCTGCTACGAAACCACATGGTGAAGACCACAAGGGAGGAATCTGCATACACACCGAGTGCCTTGGGATCCCAAAGTGGGAAGAGTCAGTGCCCCAATTAAAGAGAAACTCGGGGTAGGGAATCAACCACAACATCAGTCACCTTACTGAACCCAGGCTTGTTTCAGCTGACGTAGCTGCCAATTTCCAATGTCCCCTCCCTCCCTAATTGCTCTCAATCTATTCCTCCAGAAACTGAAAGCCCATCAAAGAGGATATCTTCCCAGAGAGTTGTTCCAGTTACTACAAGCTCTTGCTAGAAATTCCAAGAAAGTTTACAAGGTACCTTTATAAGGTGGCATTGAGTAAGTCAGAAGCATTCCAAGTACCAATTATCATGCAAATAAGGGCTTTACTTTTAGATTTTGTTGTTTGTGGTGGTGGTGATGCTGGTGTTCTCTCTGGAATCCAGCCCAATCTCCAAAAAAGTAAAAGGAGTACAAATAGTAATACAAATTATTATTACTTACACCAATTAAAATAGAAGTTTTGAATGAGCAAGGAGCTAGAGGAGGTAAAAACTGGGAACTTCGTATATTAAAAGGTTTTTATAATTTGAAAACTAAGATTATGCTGGCCAAATAGGCTGTTTTAAAATCAGCATAGTAATCAAATTTGCTTGTAATGAATGTAGACCCAAACAGTGATGTCAGACCTGATAAGGACTTGCAAACCCTAAAAGAGTGCAAAAAGACCATAGAAGAACAATATTATATTCCTGCACTTACAGAAATGGTCAGCTCAAGAGATGTATCCAGTTCAGGGTGGCTGTAAGCTTCATTTTCTGAACTTGCTACCAGAAGTTAAAAGAAATTCTGTATAACTGCTTTTGATGGAAACACAAATTGGTTGATGTAAATGAAATACATAAAGCAGTTGGTGTCTTATTCATTCCCACAATTATAAATGAAATTAAATGATCAAAAATTATAGACTTTGGGGATCTTCTTTTCACTGAGGAGCCCATGGAATTTGTCTTCTCTAGTACCAATAACTGTGTTGACCTATTTTTTCCTGTCTAACTCTGTATATATTAAAACTAGGTGGTTACGAACAAAACCCAGAAATACAATTTACATTCTAATAAAATGACTTTAAAATTATTCCACTTTTTACTGTGGCTTTACCTGTTGTCCCACAATGCAGGTTTCTCTGGGCCTCTGCTTAGAATGACTCTGTCAATGTAGATGACAGCCAGAGTTGAATGGGGAATCCAGAAACTGGGGATTCGGGCTCTTGATGCAATCTATATGCCAATCTACTTCATTAGTTCTTCTTTTATTTACAGTTTGGTAAAGAATATGGGTGGAGCTGTTCTGGGCTCACTTGCACACATGTCCAAACTGCTTTGAAAAAGGAAGGGCAAGAAAGAGTGGTATCCAAGTTGGAATCAGGCAGGCATTTCAGATCAAGAGACGAACTGGAAAGGGAACATCTGTTAGATACCCTGGGTTTGAAGGCAGTCTGTGTAAGTTTTCATATCTCTGAGTGTGTGCACACAGTGGAGAGGGTGGAGCCTGCCATCCTCAAATCTGAAAAGATTGAGAGATTTCAGAGGGCCCAGATGTGCCAAAGGTCAGAGGGATCAATATACAGGCCCTACCACGGAAAGGCGGGGAAAAGGTTCGAATAGAAAACTGCTGCAGAAGGGAAGCCACTGAGAGGTAAGGGAGTTTCTGAATAATTAAAAAGTTAAGAATAAGCAAAAGGAAGGAGGTCGGGTGGGGGATAAAAAAAAGCAGTTGATGTGGTAATTAAGAATTTGGTGGGAGCCTGGGCAGGTCACCTCCTTTCTCAGATCAGAGCCCCATCAGAAATTCTTTCAAGTGTCCTTCTGCGTCGCCAAAGATGACAACAGCAAATCAATAAGTGCTTGAAATGAAAGGGGATGTTGACTAGCCCCCAGGCTACAGATTTCCCGCCGCCAGCCTTTTCTGAACTCCTATAGCGTGCCTTTGCACCGCCTCTCTTAAGAAGAGCTACCTTTTATTCCTATTCTCAGGACGAAGGTAAGTGCTCAGTTAGCATATCTATTAAATGTCAGCTTTGGTTCCAGCTCTCCGTTTGCGCGGAAAGCTCACTGCCATAGCGCGCCCAGCCTGCCGGAGGGGCAGACAGAAAAAGCAAGCTTGGCCTGGCGACTTGCGGGGCCACGCACCTCCAGGGCTGGCCCGGAGTCTTCCAGAGTTTAACGCTCCTGGGTTAGAACTGTAAGGTCCCGGTCCGAGCAAAGGGCCTGAGCCACCGTAGCCGTGGGAGCGTTCCTTCCACTTGAATGCACTCACTCACAAACAAGCACAAAATCTTTTTAACAGCAGAGGAGAAAGACCCCTGCTCCAAAATTAAAGCTGGGAATCACCGGAAACTCCGTTTTGAGTGCGAGATATTGGTCTGTTACCTTTCTAATCTTCATATCCCTCCTGTAATATGTCTTGATTTAACAATCTTTCCAGCGCCCAGCATTGCCCGGACGTTTTAATTGGGTAATTCATTAGTGAGTCAATACAGGCATTTATATATTCTTTTAGCTCAAGTGGTTAAGTACTAATTTCGAAATGATTATAAAACACCGGAATCGGCAACGCATAGTAATTTTAATTTATATGCAAATCAATTGGTTCATCTTAAATGCCTTTTTTAAAAAAACAATTATTGTATTGTAGCATCGGAGGCATGGATCAAACCTCTAGAATAGACAATTCGGAAACAAGACCTGGACTAGGAAGACAATTTAGAACAGCCAACAAATCAATAATGTTTGAGGCAGTTAAACATCGCTAGCCATTGGTATTTACATACTCGCTTGTTGTCAGATAAGGAGCTGGGGAAATTGCTTGCCAGGGTTGAGATCATAATCCAGAGTGAAGAAAGTAAATGGTAGCACACAGCCCGTCACAGCGGGCTCTGAAATAATACTGTACCTTTCCCAAATCCTGACTCTTGGGTGACAGGGAGTTGGCGGAGGTCACCCCACATTTGTCCACGGTTTTGCCCCAATTTGATCACGAAATTGTTGTTCTCCCTGAGCTTTCCAATTTGATTACCATTCTAACGGTTCTGTCACTTGTCTCAACATATTGGGGGGAGGAGTGTAATTGAGATTCTCATTAAAAATTATCTGAACCCACTTAGCCAGCACTGTTTCATCTAAGCTTAGTTTTATGGGCTGTATTTAATTCCCTGTGCCCCCCACACATTAAAATCAGATCATCAAAATGTCGGTAGGAAAGGGTGAAGGAAATGGTCCAATGCTCCAGTTTACTGGAAGACTATTATCTTTAGACATAGTTCAAAATTTTGAGGAAATAAAAAGGATATACGCTTTGGGGGGAAAATGTTTTAATATTCTAGAATGGGGGTATTACTCCCCCCATTCCAGAGAATCCGCACTGGAGTTGTTTATGTAAAAATGTAACATCCTTGAAATTCACAGATACGTAAGGTTAGTGTCTCCCCTTCCCCAGGCTCCCAGTCCAGGCGATCTAGCCCTAAAGGAGCTAGTACCTTTGATGCTACAATCTTGTTTACATCTGCAGGGCAGAGAATTGCTTGCTTTGCTTGGACGCTCCCTCCACCCCCTTCTAATTTGAAGTAATCGGAATCTAAATACAGTCGCCAAGGCCCGCTCTTCCTTTACTGCTTTGACAAGGGAAAAACCTGAAATCCACGTCTTAAATCAGCTCGGTGGTTTGTAGCCCCCCAGCACCCTGCTTCTACGATTGCATGCCTAATGTATTCCCTGGTGATTCTGGGCATTAATTAGTTGTTTAATAGGAGTATGACTAAAAATGTAAAAGAAGGATTAGGAGCGTGAAACGTATGTCCAGCTCCTTCCACACACTCGAGGAGGGAATGAGAATCATTCTGTATCTTCTATTTCTCCAGGAGCCATTTGCATTTCCCACCAGCTGCTCACTTCAGCTGCACTGGCGCTGGGCAAGGCGAGGACCCAAAAGCTCAGCGCAGTGTCTGCGGCGGCCGGGACTGGGGTTAACCAGCCTCTGGCGGGCGAGACTCCAGACAGAAGGGGGGCGAGAGGAACGTGAGCTTCCCGAGCCCCTTCCTCTCAGCCCTGGTTTGCAAACCTCTGAAACCTGAAAGGGGAGGGAGTTGCACGCGCGTATCTTTGCGTCTTTTCAGCGCAACTCCCTTCCCTCTCCCTGTGTCTCTCCGCGGATCTCTGAATCTTTCTGTCTTTGGTTTTCTCATTCTCTTCCAACTTTTCCATGAGATTGCCTATCCTCGCCACCAGCTGAAGGCAAGGCCGTTCTGCTACGAGCGCCTCTTAATCTCTACAAAATGAAAAGAAAAAAAGGGAGGATTATTAGCCCATTACTCAGAGGAATGGGGAGGCTGCAAAAATCGTCGATGGGCAGAGGTGAAGATGTCTTTCTCGGACTGCACTTTCCGGTGTCCTGTAACTAGAGTTCAGTTGTGGGACTTGTTGAAGAAATTTGATTTTCTTGCCTCGGCGAGATTTCAAAAACCAGAAATAGAAATTCTCAGAGTCAGAGAGGAAATACAATTAAACAGCACGTGGGCATTTTCCCCCTCATTTCTCTCCCCTTAAATAACACTGCTTTGAGTTTCCACTGGGTAAAGAGAGAAAGTTTGAGTTTTCACGGATGTTACGTGGAGGTTAGAAATGGCTTAAAATGTAGATCTCTAATCAGTTTTCTTCGTGGCTGAAGAGGCTAACCCTTTCCATAAAATGAGTCCATCTGTCGACTGTTAGCTATTTCAAAGTGAAGGGATTTAGCACTCAAAACAAATTGAGCAAGTTTGTTTGCCTGTTTTTACTGCTAACTCAAATGAATTCAAAACACGGAGTAATTCAAGAAAACACATAACATGTTCCAGACAGCCCCCAAAAGTAGGGAAAGCCCAGCACCTATATAGTGACTAGGGTTAGTTTTAAGCGCCAAGCTTTTTTAAACGTATCTATTTTATGCACATTCTCCCGAGTCACTATATATTTCTAAAATTGCGAGTATTGGTATATTGATTTAGGAAGAGCAATACAACTTTTAGAGGGAACTTTATTCTCAATTAGGGACCAAAGAGATGTCTTTTTAATAGCGGGCCTGAGTTTTGCTCTCAAGCAGGAATTAATATTGGTGGGAAAATCCGAATCCAGGAGCAATGGCTGTGTTCCGGCACTTTCCAAAAACATACATTAACAGGATGCCCTTGAGATTGAAAAAACATTGTCCCATATGCCTGGCAGAAGCCTTCACACCTGGTCCTCCAGGCGAATTATATTTATAGTCCTTCCACTCAGAGGCAGGACAGAGCCAAAATATTCTGCTCACTACCAAAATACACATCTTTGCTCAAGTCAAGAAATCAGAAAATCAGGGTTCAGAAGTAAGGCACACTTTTCGAGTGAGAATATGCCCTGTAATTTCACATACTCTTTGCTTTGCAGGAGCAAATGTGGACTTGAGGGAAACTCTCTCCCCCACCCCCACTTCTATCCCGTGCAATTTAATACCATCCTCGCCAGGAACCTTAACCTCGTCATTTTAAAAAATGAGATATCCGTGACCCAGGGTGAACTTGTTGAATGTAGGTACAGCAGAGGAAATTCTAGACTCTATGAGCGTCTGAGCCTTGTCCAGTGCAAACCCTTCGTGAACACTGGGTCAGTGCGTGGCCGTGCCCACCTGTGCGCCGACACTCTCAGCATGCCTGGTCCACCCGCCTTGACCTCGGGCGCGGTGTCCCAGCTAAGCTGGGCCCAGCGTCCCGGCCTTCCCCAGCTGACAAGCCTAGCTCGTTCGCTCCCGGCTGTGGCCCTCCCACCCTCTCCCACTAGCTCACTCCATTCTTCTAGATTTCTCTTCACTCATCCTCTCCCATCCCCACCGCGCCCACCTCCACTCCCGCCCTCTACCGGTCTCTCACTTTCCTCCCTCCGCAGTCCCTCTTTGCTGTGACCTCTTTCCTCAACTCTGCAGGCCTGAAAGAAGGTCACACACGCACGCTCACACCCACACTCCACACGCCTCGTCCCAAACAACCCCATGAACATTGTCCTTTGTTCCGTCTCTTGGGCCACTTTCCCTGTCGCTTCCTCCCAGCCCGTCCTGATTTGCTCCCCAAAAGTACGTTTCTGTCTCCCCGCTGCCCTGGCGCTCCCCCTTTGATTTATTAGGGCTGCCGGGTTGGCGCAGATTGCTTTTTCTTCTCTTCCATCCCATCCTCCCTTCTGGTCCTCCTTTCCACAGTGGGAGTCCGTGCTCCTGCTCCTCGGTTGGCTCCTAAGTGCCCCGCCAGGTCCCCTCTCCTTTCGCTCTCCCGGCTCCGGCTCCCGACTCTTCGGCCCGCTGGCATCTGCTTCCCTCCCCTGCCTCGTTTCTCGTCGCCCCTGCTCGCTCCCCCCGGCGCTCGCCCGGGCGCTGTGCTCGCTCCTGGATCGCCAGCCGCGCAGCCGGGCTCGGCCGGCCGCCCGCGCGCCACTGTGCAGTGGAGTTTGGTGGAATCTCTGCTGACGTCACGTCACTCCCCACACGGAGTAGGAGCAGAGGGAAGAGAGAGGGATGAGAGGGAGGGAGAGGAGAGAGAGTGCGAGACCGAGCGAGAAAGCTGGAGAGGAGCAGAAAGAAACTGCCAGTGGCGGCTAGATTTCGGAGGCCCCAGTGCACCCGTGGACTCCTTCGGAACTTGGCACCCTCAGGAGCCCTGCAGTCCTCTCAGGCCCGGCTTTCGGGCGCTTGCCGTGCAGCCGGAGGCTCGGCTCGCTGGAAATCGCCCCGGGAAGCAGTGGGACGCGGAGACAGCAGCTCTCTCCCGGTAGCCGGTAAGTGGAGGCCATCTATCCCGCAGGGATGTGAGATAATGCGAGTCTGGAAATTTGTTCCACTTCGGAGAATCTTCACCGTAGGTGATTTGTGGCTTTTGGGGCTAAGTTTCGCCCAAGGTAACGCAGTCGGCAAACAGACCTTGCAAAGCCCTGTTCCTTTCGTCCCCCGCCACAGACACTAACAATCTACAGGGTGCTGAAGTCGAGAGGGAAGCCAGACCGTGGCTGGCATTTAAAACGAGGTATCTTCCCTTAAATCTCGGTGCCAACACTGCAGGAACAAATCCTCGGGCCAAGGATTAGCATTCTCAAGATAAAGGGCTGGGTACAAAGTTTCAGCTACTGGAAGATTAGCCCCCTTCCCATTGTTATCCATTGGGAAAAAAAAGAAAAGAAAAAGATTCCATCTTAACTGGCAGTTAGTGACCTCTCAGGCCCAAGCGAATTACCTGGGAGCCAGGCCTGGATGCCAAGCTCTCACCATTTCTTTGGATTGTAACTCCTTTAAATTGATCACCAGTCAACTCCAATCTGGCACTTCAGGAGATACACTTTAAATGGATGCAGAGAATTATTTTCCAGCTGGAGATTAAGAAAAAAATTTTCGATTCTAAACCTCCGAAATATGTTCCTCTTTTCCAGTTTAACCACTTTACTTTCTTAAGCAATTTAGAAATCAAACTATCATAAGGTGGTGTGATTTTTTTTTACTCTTTTGTGTGAGTATTGTCTTACTAAACTAAACGGAAAAAACTTTTACCATTATAAATGTAAATATCAGAATTCATACATTCTAAAATATTTTTATGAAAAATTAATCTGATTTAAAGAAATTTCCTTGCATTTGTTTTAGTCTATCAATCAAAACTAAAGATGCTTTTATCACACAAAATATCATTTTGGCAGAAATCCATCTAAAATTCAAATACCAATAATATCAAGAAAACAAAGCACATAAGCAAAATAAATTGAAGATTTTTGTTGATGTAACATGAGCATACAACATTTCAATAACCAAACTTTCCCTAAAAAATTAAATAGCCACTTCATTTGTGGAATGTTTTACTTTAACTCAGCAAAATTACACTTAAATTATTTAGGTGCTTTGTTCCTTAAGTTAAGCGTGTTTGTCTTCAAATGTTCCTAAAGCACTTATATTAATTGGTTGTAAAGAACGCATACACATGGTAAAATACAGAACTGAACTGAGCAGTATTTTAATTTCCTTAAATAATTACTTACTACAAATTAATTTACTGGCTAATTTCACAATTTAGTTCATTTAAAACACATGTTCCTGTGCTGTTTATTTTTAAACTTTCCATTAAAGATTTTGTTATGGGGTAACAAAGTGTATGAAAAGGGGGGAAATGTGAAAGGATCTGGGATTATTCGAACTGTATTTTTCCTGCACTTTCAGTCTTGCGGTAGTCATCAGAAATTATTTTTTAGCAAATTGTTTTATTTCTTAGGGCTTGCCTGCCTGCTTTGCCATGGTTCCTCGTCCTCCGTTAGCCGTGTAGTGCTTTTTGTGTGCTCACAATATAAAACCCAAGTTGGCCAAAACAAGAGTCCTTGGCATATACATTCCAACTAGAACATGAACTTTGGGGGTGAGAACTACCTCCCATCAGGAAAAGTCTCCCATCTCAATTTGTGAGATTAGCCATTGAAGCCAGTTCCGAAGTCTGGCAGCCAAATTTCTCACAGAAGACTTGTCTTGATAGGGCAAGTTTAAGGATCAGCAGGCGGGAATTGGAGGTCTCTTTTTAAAAAATTATCTTCCCCAGTTATTTAGACTCAGTTCTTCTAGTAGGCCTGGTCATTAAATGAAGCATAAAAATGCAAGTCTCAAGGCTCATTTTGACTGCAAAATAAATCTCCAAGTCACAAGGACATGTAGGAGTGAGCTAAGGAACACGCCTTGACCTTCTTTTCAGTCCTTAGAGTGGAGCTCTATGAGTTCTTGAAGATTTGTTTTGTATTGCTTTGTTTGGTCTTCAGCACTGAAGCACGGGGAAGTGGGGGGAAGAATGTGTAATAATTGACTGACTTTACACCAAGCAACGCAATCTTTTTCTTTTGTATATTTCATTCTTTAAAAAAAATAAATAAATAAAAACTATTTGCAGTTACCATCTGCAGTGCTCCGGCTACCAGCTAATAATGCAGCCAGTTCAGACATATAAAAAAAAAAGATTATCGAAATGATGATGACATGCAAATTTCCTCCGAAATTATCATAAGTAAACATTTGAAGTCTGGACTAATAAAATCCCATCTGTGTTACTTCATATCGAGTTAGTAGAAAGCTGTGATAATGAATTTTGTAATATCTCACGAACAGACATCTCAATCAGGGACTAATCCTGTGATTTTACTGCAGAATCACTAAATCTGGAGCCGCCAAACTGCTACTTCTGGGCCCACGGGCCCACAAGGATCGAATCGGCAGAGTCCCCGCCCGCGTTCTCGCTAGCGGGTGGGGGAACCGCCTGGCCGTCCCCACCCTGGATCCCCACGCCACAGCGCCGGGCAGCCCCTCCTGTAGGCAGCGACCTTGGCCAGAGGCTCCCCAGGGCCCAGCTCCCTTCAGGAGAGGCCGAGACGCAGGGAAACGGTACTCAGGCCAGAGGCAGGCCCGCAGCTCCCTGCCCCGCCTCTGTGCCTCCGCCAACCCGACAACGCTTGCTCCCACCCCGATCCCCGCACCCGCGCGAAGTGGGCCCTCCGGTCGTCGGCGTACCCTGGTTAGCGTGGAGAGAGGCAGGCGCTGAGATCGAAGGGGCCTAGGGAGCCCTGGACCTTCTTTTCTTGTCTTTAAAGCAACCGCGGCTCTTCTACCCACCCGGTGGAGCCCCTCGAGACCCACCTCTCCCGGCTTGCCTGTGGCAGAGAAGGGGGAGCGCGTTAAATGCTTGGCTCGCTGCGTTGTGGTTGAAAACGTGAAAAAGATTTGGCTCGCCCGGGAGAGAAAGGGGGAGAACTGGGTAGCAGTTATACCAGAGCTATTTCTCCGTCCTTGGCGGGCAGTAAACCCTCCAAGAACGTTTGCCCTGCTCTCCTCAGTCTCGCTCAGTCCACCCAGTGTCTCTCCTCTGCGATCTTAAATCATACTTTAGGGTAATTATTTGTAGTAAGTAAATAAATGGCCGGGTTAGTATCTCTAGGAGAAAGTGTGGCTAAATATGGAAAAGTGGCTCCTGATGGATGAGAGGCCCGAACTCAGCTCGCTCCTGAAACACCCTAGGCCAAGAGCCCGTTCGTTTCAGAATTACAGAAAACCGAGGGAAACTGCTGTCTAGGACAGGGGCACGTTGGCGCTGATGTTCTACAAATGTTTACCGAGCTCCAACTAATGGACAAGCACTGAAGGGTGGTCTTTGCATACAGCTTCCCAAAGAGAAAAGTCCTCTCCACCCACCCACTCCCGCTGCCATTGCGTTCAGATGAGTTCTTAACCCCGGCACCGAGATTCTTGAAAGTAGGTCCACAGCCTCCCCAGCACACTGTGGCTTTATAGTCCTCTAACCTCTGGGCACTTTTGCGGCAACTCTGGAGGGAGATCCCCTCTTGATAAATAAATGTCCTGGGCCCGAGGCTAGGCTGGAGATGCTGCTGCACAGCCAGAGGCTGTCAGGTCGGAAAAACACGCCTGAAGCCTAGCACACAGTAGGCGCCTAACAGCTAGTGTAACGTAGTCTCATCTGAGCCCTGCTCACTCGACGGCCGCCGCTTCTTACAGCCTTCCTTCTCTTCTGTTTTGCAGATAACGGGGAATGGAGACCAACTGCCGCAAACTGGTGTCGGCGTGTGTGCAATTAGGTAAGAACCCCCTTCTCCTGCCCGGGTCATCGGACGGGAGGCCGCGCCACGTGAGGGCGGCAAGAGGGCACTGGCCCTGCGGCGAGGCCCCAGCGAGGGGCGCTTCCCCGAGGGGCCAGCCTGGGCAGGAAGGAAATCAGAACCAAATCGCCAGTGGCCTCTCCCTGTGGCGGGGCGGTGGACTAGGAAGCAGCGGCGCGCTGTGTACCGAAGCCCCCCAGCCTACTCCTCCCGGCTGGAACCGCCGGCAACCGGGGAGGCGCAGAAAGAGTACGCCATCCTGCCCCGGGTTGCCAGAGGGTCCGGGGGACGGGGATGCCGTCAGCTCTTTCCTCTAACTGGGTCTTTGCTCTTTGTCCCTCTTTCTCCTCCGGCCTGCCTCGCCCCTCCCCCTCCTCCCGTCCCCGGCTCCTTTCGGCCGCGGTCCGGGACGCCTCTCTCCGCACGTGGGGCGGGCGCGCGCGTGGCCCAGGCGTGCAGCCGGCGGCCGTTGAATGTCTCTTCTCCAAAGACTCCGAAATCAAAAAGGTCGAGTTCACGGACTCTCCTGAGAGCCGAAAAGAGGCAGCCAGCAGCAAGTTCTTCCCGCGGCAGCATCCTGGCGCCAATGGTAAGGCCGGGAGGGAAGCGCAGGCCGCGCGCTGGGCACCCGCCTCCGGGACTCTGGGCCTCGGGCGAAGCGCAAGAAGGCGAGGCCGCCAGACCTGACGCGCCTGCTGCTTGAACTTAGACACTCCGCCTCTGGGTGGGACGGGAAGCAGCCGTCCCAGGGACGTTAATTCCTTTCCCCAAATTATACTGCACTCCTGAGACCCAACACCTCTCTCTCCCTCTCGCTCGCTCCCTGTGGTCTGATCCCCTGCGCACGCTCCAGCAAACCTCGGCGTCTAGGCTGGCGTGGAAAAGTGGTCCAACAGCGACCTCTGTCGCTCGTTATATCCCGCTGCGCGCAGCACCACCAGGGCCCACTCAGTCACTCAGGCTCTCAGCCACGCCCCACCCAGACTTGTGGGTGCGCGGTTCATCGCGGGAGGCAAGCAAGGGAAACTTGAGTTGGCGAAGGTTTGCTTTGGCTGGTTGGGGGAGGGGCGGGGGGCCGACAACATCCCTGAAGAGCTGGAGGGCAGCCACTGTGCTTAGCAGCCCAGGGTAGAATGGAGGTTTGCCCCTGTCGACGCGAACCTGCCTGAAGTACTGGTTGCCAGGCCTTGGGTTTTGGCGATGTCGTTGCTTGATTGGCTGGTTTCACTCTGGAGGAATCGAGGGACATTGCCAGAGGAGGTCTACAGGCTTATGTAAAAAGTTAAAAAGTCTCCAACCTACGCCACAGGCCTTTCCTGAATTGAAACTTGTTCTATGGGGCGGAGGGGGGGGTGTAAGGGATGGAGGAGGGAAGATGCCTTTCTTTTCAAATACATGGAAAAAAACCCCTCAAATTTACTGTTCCTCTATTTTCCTGGCTCCGTAGTAAATAAGTGCCTAGCCTTAGGAGGCTATTGACCTTTGATAATGTGAGCAGATAAAGCCCCCCCCCCCCCACAGCCCTCGGCCCCTAACCCCCTCTTTCCGGATTAAAGTGTAAGAATACAAATGTAATATGGGATGGAGGGGGGCGATTTGGGACCCCGGTCAAAAAAACAAACCGTATTACTAAGAAGAAAACAAAGGTCTTGCATTGGAGTTTCCCCGTGAATCTGAGAGAAAATGATCATTTGTTGAAATGAAGCGTCTAAAGCGATCCAGTGCTTCACGCCCGGACACTGCACTACACCGCCAGTCGCCCTGCTGGGCCAGTTAAACGCTCACTTGTCCGGGATTAACCCCATGGGGTTAAATGGGGGCAATGCAGAGATAACGTCGCGTGATTTCTGTCATTTAGATTGTGTTAAATTCTTCTTCTGTTTGATAATCGGTAGTAAAAATAAATTATTAGACCGTAGTATGTTTGGGATATGGTTAAAAATCAAGAGCAGCGATGACTTCTGGGGAGAATGCTTTGCGCGGGCTCAGCCCTGGCTCCGGCCAGACTAGAGGAGCTCCCCAATCTCGCTTCGCGCGGGGCGGGCTCGCAGTCGCCAAGCCGAGGCTGACATTTCTTATTGTGCTGGGAGCCAGAGAGACGCAAAATGTCTCCTTCCCCCAGTCCCTACCCCAGGTTTCCTAGACATGGGGAATGCATTCTGAGGACAGGTGGAGAAGCCTACGGTAGGATGGGGTCCTCGTAGGTGAGCAGGAAACGGCTAAGAGCAGAGGAGTTCTGCTTGCGCCAGTCACAAGCCGCGCAGGCGCCCCTGGTCGTTCGCTTTTGATAACTAGCACATAAAGAACTAGAAATAATGAATGATTGCTTTCTTAACCATTACTTTCAGGCCCGCATTGTTTTAGTGCACGTGAAAGGCTCTTCCCCTACACTCAATATGTCTTTTTCTACTTTTTGACCGAAAAGAAAAATTGCTGCCTAAACACGTTTAATGCCATTAATTAAGAAAAGGCATGTAATGGGAAGAAATGCTGAAAATCTTGATTTAATTGGCTTTTAAGGAACTAGTAGACGACAAAAAAAAATCACACGAGTGGGCAAAGCTATAGCACTGCTGAAGGATAGAGCACCTATCCTTCCCTGATTTTAAGTTAACTTATGGAATATCCAAAGTCCTGGCCACAGCCTGCTTGTAAAACAAAAGGATTTATTTCTTGTGTTTTTTTAAAGTTTTTCTTTGCTTTTAAAGAGAAAAAAAGTTCACAATGACATATGACTTCTTCAAAAGGCCGTGATAGTCTATTACGCTACCCTCTCCGCCTCTGCCCCCAACGCCGCCCAAAAATACCATGTCCTCGTTAAAGACTAAACGTTCTGTATAGGCAGAGTCCACCTCTAAGCAGTCCAGGCTCTGCCTTCCTTCCCTAGTGAGTCCCATTCTCCTTGGTATCCATTGGGCGGATGCCCAGCCTGGATAGAACCCCGAAACGGGGGTAGCACGAGAGCGACTGGAGACCCCTAAAAGCCAGAGGTTTGAGAGAGGGTGGACGCAGCTAGCAGAAGATGGTGTAGAAGCCAGCTGAGAACGACCCCCTAGAGCAAAGAGACCTTTCTTTGGCTTTTCTTGCTTTGGGGGTCCTGAAAGGAACTCATAAAATGGTCTTCACCCTCAGGAGGAGGACGGACTGACCCTCCTCTGTCACTGGCTTAAAAAGTTTCAGGGCGGCGGCTCTGGGTTCCGTGCTGAAATCGGACTGCACTGCAGCCCCTTTGGACCTGACGCCTGGCTTTGCGTCCCGACAAGGGGCGGGTACTTCCCCCGGCCTCCCCCAGGAACGCATTAATTGTTAAATAGCTTTGGCCCAGTGGATGGGCTGAAAGTGTTCGACCCAAGTCGCTGGTGTGCACAGACTTCCTCCCTCTGGGAGGTGGGCTCCATGGCCCGTTGTGGCACCCCCAGCCGCGACACACACCTTCACACGCGGCAGCAGCTCGGTCCCAACCTTCTTCGAAGGACCTGGGTTAACCCTGGCGGCCTTGGCGGCCGCAGACCCCTCTCCGCCGCCCCGCCCCCGCGCCTCTCATTCAATCAGCGAATGTTTGCGGAGCATATACTACGTGGACTCCTAATGTACCCCCTGAAAGCAAATAATACAGTTTTCCTCGCCGTCATGAAGGGATTTTAATCCTAACATGGACACCAGCGAGATCAGCCCAGACCGTCTCTAGCAAAACGCAAAATGGTGGTGCGTGGGGTGGTGACCAAGGTCCTGAGCCTTGTCAGAAAGAAGGGGATGTGTAGAGAAAGGTGGAGAACTCTAGCTGTGGCTAGCGCGGAAGGGACAGGTGCTTGCCGAAGGGGGCATGAGGCTTGAGGAAAAAGCAACGAAATAGGGGTAAGGAGAGTTTTCCATTTTCTTTCCTCCGCCCGACCTCCGCCATCCCATTCTCCCCTCCCCTCCCCCACCCCCCGCGCCAATCAAATCTGCAGCTCACTTGAAAGGTGCCCCGCCGCGTTGTGGTTTTTCACCCCCAGGGGAAATTGTACCAGTTGTCCGAAAGTAGTCAGTCCCTGCGGATCCCTGCCCGCAAAAGTGGTCTTCACAGGTCGCGTTCCTCGCTGCTGACTCGGTACACAAAGTTTCTTAAGGCTGGTTCGGCTGTTATTCCTCACCGCCCGCTGCTAATATATGCAGCAGTTGTTAGAGCGGCTCGGGGGAAAAGGAAATGTATAACGAAAGCTTATTCGTGAGCAGGAATATACTAATGGAACAATCTGATGTCTTCTTAATCCTATGTAAAAAGCTTTGTCGTCTTCCTAATATTGACTGAATGGGTAATTAATGGCTCTTCATCTAGGCGAATACCCTGTAATCCAAGATAGGCAAAAGACAACAAGCCCAAGGTAGAAGACAAAAGGCCCAACTGCAGCGGCGTTTGCCCGCCTCCTACCCCCCAGGGTCTCTGACTAGGAAAGTTTTCTCTCAGAGGAGAAAAAGGCAGGAGTGGGAGAATATATACCTATCATTTCGGGGCTAGACTTCACCGCAGCACCTGACCACCCAGCTCAGTTTTCTGTTACTCTGTCTTTCCACCTCCAGTCCTTCTCCCTGCATTTTTTTTTCTTCTTAACTCCTCTAGGATGACCTCCTACCACCACCGCCATTATGGTCCTAATAACCTTTCCCCCTAAACCCCACATCTTTCACTTCAGCAACCAATGAGGCTGTTTTCTGATCCAGGAGGAGATTCTTTTCTTTTAGAACCCAATGCGTAGAGTCTTTGAGAACTAAAGTAGTTGGTAGGGGAGGAAGAAATTAATAGAAAGGGAGAGAGCATACAGAATTGTGTGTGTATGTTAAAGAGCGACCAGGAATGACAGAGTCAACTTCTTTGTGAGGATCTGACGGGAAGAGTGTCCAAGACTCTACCAGCATGTTTTTAACAGGCTGACATTTTAATTTAAACCTTTAGAAGTAATATATTACTTGGGTTACTACAATGAGGTGGGTTCCTTTTTTTTTGTCAGCTGACAGCTTTTAAAATATTATTTCGCTAGGGAAATAAAAGCTTCATCTCAGATTATAGGTGGGTATTTTTGGATTTAGGTGATTTATGGTCACCATGACAACTAATGCTGAATGTTAGCTACCAGCATGTCTGGGAGAGAGAAAACAGAAAGAAGGGAGAGCAAAAGAAATAGAAAAGGGAGATGGACATAAGCTGGAGAGGGAAGAAAAGAGAAAAAGAGGAAGACAGATGAGTGTTTAATCCAACTGTTGTTTAAAAAAGTGGCGGGGGGGTGGGACTTCATTTAGCCCCTTGCCACTTCCTTCTTTCCTGACCTGGATATCTATGCTCAATTTCATATTCCACCCTTCCTTCCCCTTCTCCAAACACATGTGCTATACCATTCTCCTTATTTTACTTAGTTCGGCAAGTAGTTGCTTTCTGGAGACTCAGTGACACCTAGGAAAACTGTGGCAGTAACATGCAAATGTGAGGAAGCATTAACAGCATGTTCGTTGAGTGATTTTAGCAAATGCCCCCTCCTCTAATCTCTTTCTCTTCTCTTCCCCAGGCCACTGTGAGGTGGTAACTCCCACTGCCATCTGAACACTGTTCCCCCAGGTAGTTACCCCAAATCTCAAATGGTTGAGCAGCTAGAGCTGTGGGTTGGAAAAATGGGTACCATTTGCAGGGACCCAGAGAGGGTGGCTGTTGCTCAATATATCTACAGACTTCCAATTCAGAAAATAATCTTCCCCTTTTGACAAGCCAGAGCTTTTTAAATTCCATTTAGGAAATGGGGAAAAGGACAGCTACAGTGAAGCTTTTAATTTCTGGGTTATTTGGTTCCATAGCTATGAGGGGTGGTGGGTAGTGGACTGTTTTCAGCTTGGTTTGTATGCAGAGAAAAGCCAGATATTGGAGGGGGTGGGGCACTTCTCGGGCAGGATGCAAGGTCTCCATCTGACCTCTGCGCCTTACCAGGAGCTCACACACTCACGCCCATCACGTGGCTCCAAGCTGAGTCCAGGCGGGCCTCGTCCTTGAGCTAGCTTGGGCAGGGCAGGACTCCCACCCGTCTAAGGCCTAACAGCTCAGGGAGATGTCTAATTAAGCCATCTTCTGGGTGAACTCTGAAGACAGACTCTTTCCAAAAGTCAGAGATCACTTGGTTGAGTCCCAGGCCAGATTGATACGGAGAGTTTGGCGGCACAGCCCAACCGCTCACTGCCATGGCCAGAGGGACTTTGCACAACTAACACTGAAGAGTGTGAAATTAAATAAGACTTTAAGACTGGTAATCGGTGGCAAATACCAGCACAAAACACGGCTGACCCCATGTCACACATTTCCCTCCTCTAGGGTCTTTCTTTGAAAGAATAAGCAAGAAACCCCAATCGAGACAACCCCTGATGTCTCCCAGACTCAAAACCTCACGCCGGCACTGGGCTTTCCTTCTTTGCCCCACGTGAGCCATGCAGCACCTCTAGTTTCCCTACCAGGATCCCACCAATGTTCTCCGTATTGGAAATTTCTGTGTTAGAGGCTGAACTCATAGTAATTTCTAAAACCAATTAAGAAGAACTTAGCCAGAGGTCACAGTAATGCTGGAATCACAAAATGCATAAGATTTATTTTCTTCTGGCCCCTTTCTCATCCATGCTGCCTATGCCTGTGCACCCACAAGTCTTATGTACATTAAATCTCCAAAATCAACCACCACCATGCCACAGAGTTTTCACTGGACAGTGTTTCTTAGTTCCCACCACATACCTCCTTTTCCCCATGCAGACTTATCATGTTGGTGTCCTGCCACACAGGGGGCCTGAGAAGAATGTCACCCAATCGCCGCTGCTGTGAGTGTGTAAAGTGATTAGGAGATTAGGAGAATGTTGAAACTCCTGCTGGAAAAATGCAAAGAAAATCCTCACTTTGAGTCAGTTGTTTACAGAGCCAGTGTGTGTGTGCGTGTGTGTGTCTGTAATATAAAATGGATGTGAATATATATATACAAATAGATATGGTTTTGCTTTTACTTTAATCTGAATTATCTAGATAATTGTCTTTATTCACCACTTGACTTCAATGGGTCCACACAAATTAGGACACCTTATCTTTTTAGGCATCTAGGCTGCTGCTGATCCCCAGTGCTTCCAACATCTCGCACACGTTGGCACTATGAGGAGCAGTCACGTGCCCTTGGGTTTTTCAACCACTTTGGAGGCTGATTGAGGTCCTTCATACATGTATATTTGTCGTGATGAAAGTTCCATCGGTAGAGTGGAGCCACCAGAGCTTTTATCAAAATTCTGTGGGTTTATGAGAGATGGGTTTAGAAATCTATATGGCTCTGTGGGGCTTCTCGGCTTTCTAAAATAAGGCATTAACACCCAAGCTTCCAAAAATATTTGCAGCTCTGGGGTTTGAATCTTGAAAAACAAGGAGTGAGGGGCTGTGTATACTAACTACAGTGGAGATTTTTTTCATTCTTTAATGTGATGGAGTCCCTTCATGAAATGAAGCTTTAAGGGGCATGGTATTGTGGGGACCACAGCTATTCTGAGGTTTAAAAGAAGAAACTGGAATATGATTAGTAAACACATTCAGCAGAAAAGAGCTGGATTCTTATTGACTTAGTTATAGGTCATCGGCTGGCAGTGCAATGGGAGGAAATATTTACTTTACACATATACTTTATGATCTTGGGGGAATTAGAGGAAATTCAATAAGAAAACGGCTAGAAACATTTAAAACCCTTATTTAAAAGACTTAAGCAAATTAGAGTCTTATCAGATTAAAAACCACTACAAATGTAAGAGCATTGTCTTCAGTGAAACGCTGTGGGGTCTGAGAAGGAGATTCTCCGCCAAATCTCCGGGATAAAATGCGTCATTTAAGCACCAGATAATGAGCAGAATGTAAATTAATTTAACCTTCTTTACCAACAGGCTGCTAGTGTAATGTGTATAATTTAGTGATAAGATTGCAGGACCTAATATAGCTGGATGTATGAGCCTCAGCTAATGCAGACCTGTCACATGAGGATGTGTTTTACTCTGAGCAGGTGTCTGTATGTGTGGAATGGGGTAAAGTGGAATAAAAGGTTAAAAGCAGAAATGCTGATTTAAAGCTTACTATGAAGAAATTCCTCCCTTGCAGCTAAATTATTCTTAAAGTGGGATGATACTGGTGAAGAAAGACTGAAAAACAATTCTCATGTGCGTCTTTGGACTGCAAGTTTAAAATGGGGAGGAGTTGCAGATAGGGTTTGGGGGTGGTCAGGGCAAAGGAGAGACACATAAGTTGCAAATATATTTGTAGTCTGCTTCATCCACTTTGTTCCACATCGAATAAGTTTCCCAATCTTGTGAACAAGGACAAGGAGGGAGTGTTTTAAAGATACTTCATGCTGGCATTGCAAATCATTGACTGTAATGTCAAACAAATACACATTCAGAGATGATAACACTAACTCCATAGTAAAACAATCGCCCATGCAGAAACCCAGAGGAGATTAGTTTGTCCTCTCCAGCTGACCTATGCTGGGGGACAAAAGGACTTTCAAAAATTATTTTGAATATGTTTGGATTTCTTTCTTTAATTTCTTTGGAAATTAAATTTGCTTGGAAACAGTGCTATAAAGAGTTGATGTCTCCAAAGGTGATTTTTTTTGTTTTATATAAATAAGGTTTTGCTTTTGCTAGTTGAGCGCAGTTCTAGGCTTTTCGCCCTTAGCTCACACACACCCCTTCTGCCTGCTTGGACTTTAATGGCTCAAGACAGCCTTGAGCTCACTGGGAAAAGAAAATGACTGTTAAAAATTATCCTTGAAATTGGTTATTTGGCAACATTCTTAATTGTATGGAAATTCATTAAGGCATATTTCATATATAATTAGCTCAAGGTTGTTGATTCTACAGGCTTTATGGATTTAAATCTGATTGATAATAAAGTAAACAAGAGAGTCGAATTTAAAGCGTGGCTCTCTCGGGTTAGGACGAGCTTAATACAGTGTACAAGGAATTTGAAAGATCTAGGATATGTGTCTTAATCAACGTTAAGTAGAATGGATAAGCTTTCAGCATTTTGAAAACGCTGGGTTAGGGTTTCTCTTCTATTGTGTGTTTTCTGTCTGGGGACTAATAAGCATCACAGAGAACGTGATCTGAGGCGACTTTTTATTCTTGTATAAATCCAGAGTGAACCACCAAACAGTTGTTCGTTTAAAGTCAAGGTAATTTTCTTTTGACGGGTCCATTTGCTTCTCGATTTCTAATTTATTAGCCTGCCTTTTCAGGGCTCTGTCTTCTTTGCAATTAAAGCTTCTTCAGATTAGCGCAGCATTCACTTGACAGGCTGTTTGGAAAATTTAAGATCGGAGAGGTGATTTGTTGCTGTTTTTCAAATTTTCTAGTTTTAAGTAACGTGTCTCCTTTTTATATGGGGTGGGGGATTGGAAATGGATGTAGTGAGACACAAAGAGTGGGTGTCTTGTTGATCCTTGTACCTTTCTCTTCTTGACCATTCCACTCTCTTCTCCCAAGCCTTCGACTCCTAGCCTCATCTCTTCACCTTTGGGTTCGTACTAAAAGCCGGATCGCCTTGGGCTGGGCAGGAGCTGAATTCCCGGGAGCTTGCCTGTGTAGACCCAGTGCGCACGGCGAGGCAGTAGCCCGGCCCCGCACTGCTGATAGGTGCAGGCAGGACAGTCCCTCCACCGCGGCTCGGGGCGTCCTGATTGGTGCGGAGCCACGTCAGTCGCACCCGGAGAAGGGTCTGGGAGGAGGCGGAGGCGGAGAGGGCTGGGGAGGGCCGCGGCGGAGTGACGTCTCGGCACCAGGAAGCCCGCCTCTGGTTTTAAGATGTTAGGCCAACAGGGAAGCGCGGAGCCGCAGATCTGGTCCGTCGCTCGCCTGGGTGCCTGGAGCTGAGCTGCGGCAAGGCCCGGCTCCTGTTCGACCGCCCGAGGGGTGTGCGTGTGCGCGTTGCGGAGGGTGCGCTCAGAGGGCCGCGTCGTGGCTGCAGCGGCTGCTGCCGCCGCAGGGGATCTAATATCACCTACCTGTCCCTGTCACTCTTGACACTTCTCTGTCAGGGCTGCCGCGTGGGGGGGGGGCGGGCAGAGCGCGGTCGGCGTTAGCTTTCCTTATTGGAGGGGTTCTTGGGGGAGGGAGGGAGAGAAGAAGGGGGTCTTTGCCCACTCTTGTTTCGCTTTGGAGCTTGGAAGCCTGCTCCCTAAAGACGCTCTGAGTGGTGCCCTTCTGCCCACATCCCATGTCTTCGTTTGCCCGCTGACTTTCCGTCTCCGGACTTTTTCGCTTGAGCCTTCCGGAGGAGACGGGGGCAGCTTGGCTTGAGAACTCGGCGGGGGTTGCGTCCCCTGGCTCTCCCCGCAGCGGGGAAACTCCGCGCCTAGAGCGCGACCCGGAGCGGGCAGCGGCGGCTACGGGGGCTCGGCGGGGCAGTAGCCAAGGACTAGTAGAGCGTCGCGCTCCCTCGTCCATGAACTGCATGAAAGGCCCGCTTCACTTGGAGCACCGAGCAGCGGGGACCAAGCTGTCGGCCGTCTCCTCATCTTCCTGTCACCATCCCCAGCCGTTAGCCATGGCTTCGGTTCTGGCTCCCGGTCAGCCCCGGTCGCTGGACTCCTCCAAGCACAGGCTGGAGGTGCACACCATCTCCGACACCTCCAGCCCGGAGGCCGCAGGTAAGGCGCCGCGCCGCCCTGCAGACATT
The DNA here is from genome assembly GCF_000001405.40 of Homo sapiens. Taxonomy (NCBI): domain Eukaryota; kingdom Metazoa; phylum Chordata; class Mammalia; order Primates; family Hominidae; genus Homo; species Homo sapiens. The sequence continues at coordinate 110,622,226 of NC_000004.12, read as the reverse complement.
CCCGCTCAGCTGCTCTGCGCCACCCGCTCCCTCTCGCCCCAAGGAAGTCAGCCCCTCCGGGGGGAGGCGTGGTGGGAGTGGTCGTTCGCCTGGCTCCCCGCAGAACTTCCGGGAGCCGGAATTTTGACTACCCCGCATCCCTTTAGTTCTCCCTCGACCGGCCCGGCTCCTGGGGCGCTAAGGGCGCGAGCAATTCTGCCGCCCTCTCTATTCGTACCCTGGCCTCCCTTCTGTTTCCTGGGTCACAAAAATCCCAGCATCTTGATTCGAGGACCTTCAGAGGCCGCCGACCTCTGTCCCTGTTTTCCTCTCGGCTTTCAGCTCCCGAGGAGCTCCACTCGTTAGGAAATTGCCTGAAACCACTCAGAAATGCCCTTCGCGAAGAGGCATTTTTTTTTTTTTTTTGGGAAAGGGCCGGCGAACTTCGGTGCCCAACCGAATCCCCACATCTTTTCCTAGCCTTCCCAAACCGCATGGAAATCTGAGCTTTCTGCGAGGGGGAGGGGGGTCTGTAAACCACGCGCGTGTGCGCGTCCCAGGAGATTTGGTGTGTCTGCGCAGAGGTGTATAAATATACTTGAAAGCACAGGCTATAAAAGTGAATGTGCCGCTGCAGTGAGATAAACATGTAAATAAAACGTGCGGCGCTGGGGGAGGGGAGGAAATGGGGCGCGGACACCCACACTTGCGCCTGCACACCCCACAGGCGCAGCGCTCCTCGCGGCCCGGAGCCGCCGCGCGCACCCTCCTCCGGCGCCAGGCAGCCCAGCTCTTCCACGGCTTCTGCCGCCGGTCCAGTTGGCGTCCGCGTTGCAGGTGGGCATGCTGACGGGAAAGTGTGTGTGTTTCGTTTTCAGAGAAAGATAAAAGCCAGCAGGGGAAGAATGAGGACGTGGGCGCCGAGGACCCGTCTAAGAAGAAGCGGCAAAGGCGGCAGCGGACTCACTTTACCAGCCAGCAGCTCCAGGAGCTGGAGGCCACTTTCCAGAGGAACCGCTACCCGGACATGTCCACACGCGAAGAAATCGCTGTGTGGACCAACCTTACGGAAGCCCGAGTCCGGGTAGGAGCCAGCACGGAGTCTGGGAGGGATGGGGGGAGGATGTTGTGGAGGTACAGGCCAAGTAGACCAGGAGAGAATGTGGAAGGCAGCGCCGCCTGGGAGGGCGCCGGTGGGGCGCAGCTTTGCAAAGGCAGAAGGCCTCGCGGCGGCCTGGTTGCGAGATTACAGTTCCCTCTCCGAGGCCGACAGGACTGCCGCCCTGGCTCAGGCTCCCAGAGCGGCACCGGCTCACTGCCCCGCCATCCCGCGATCTCACGAGCTGGGCTGCATGGGCAATCCCCTGCACAGGACATTGTGTTCCTGGCTTGCAGTTGCCAGAGCAGAGCTAATAAAATCCCTACCAGGCCAAGAGCCGCGAACAGGCTCCAACCTGTGAGCCTTTAACAAGGAAAACCCGCCAGAGACACGGAAGAGTTGGCCCTCCCTGGGAAACCTTTGTCCCGGCCCTGGCCCAGCTTTTTCCCTCCTGGGCTCGCGCTTCTTACACCTTCTTTACGGTTGTTTCGGCCATTCAGGTCTCTCCCACACACCCTATTTCCTAGTTTTGTGATCTCCGGGAGCAAAGTTTTAATACACAACTACTAGTCCTCTTAGAAGGAGAAAGAAAAAAAGAAGAAAGACTTTTCTGCTTGGTTTATTTATCTTCTCTCAGGAGTTGAACTCTGGAAATTGAAACTCACACCCCCTCTTCTAAATTATAATCATAGTTTTGTAAAAAGGGCTTACCTTAACTTTGTAGCAAATCTGTACTTTATGGATTGGCAAAAATGAGCTCAAATAAATAACCCAATAGCAACGTCCTGGTTTATGCTGGTCGGTGGAAGATTCCAAATTTGTTAGGATTCTGGAAGCAGAAAACAGAATCAAGCAAATCAAGCGGCATCCAGAGGCTTTGCTGTTAAAAAAAAAAAATTAAGTGCTCTGGGTAGAAAAAATAAAGCCCCCGGTTAGAGCAGAGCAAACAAAAAGAAGAAAACAACGATAAAAAGAATAAAGACCAAAATGCTCTCCCAAATCAGAGGGAATGAAGACACTCTCTGGGTGGCATTTGTGCAAGGCATGAGGCTATGCTGGTGGATAAAAGGCCGGGAAGAAGTTGAAAATGGTTTTAGTTTAACTGTCCAGAGCCAGAGCTGGGTCCTGGGCGGCGTGGTTTTGAGCAAGGTCAGTCTTTCATTAGCTCTCTTGCACATCAAGGGAACGGGCCTCTCACGTACTCTTCTCGCCTGAGCAAAGTTTAGATGGCCTAGGGTAGAAATGGCAAGTAATTAAAGACAGAGTCTATGGGTTTTCTGGGATCCTTCGAAAACGCCCTCCCACCCCGCCCGCTATTCCGCAGCTCCACCCTAGTGCTTTGTAGCCGCGGCGCTGGGCTCTCCTTGCAGCTGCCTCTCCTTCCAGGGCGGCTGCTTGTCGAGCCAAGTGGGAGTGAGGCGTGCTTTTTATAGCAGTCGGGTGCAAAGAGGAAGGGGGATAAAAAGGAAATCAAGAATGAAAGGAAAAAGAGAAAAAGCGGATTACACGGCTGGGCCCGGCGGAGATGTGTAATGTGAAACATCACTGGTGTCAGCTCGGATATCTCAGGCCAGGCCTCTCTCCAATACACAAAAGCCGCCGTCTGGGGCGACAGGGAGGCCCGATGTGGATTGGGATCGGGGTTGCGGCTGGGCCACCGGACACGGGTGGAAGCCGGCCGGCCTGGGTGGCCGCCTGCAAAGCCAAACGACCCGGCTGGGCCTGGCGCGCGGACAGGCCTGTGGTGGGCTTAGGGTAAAGAAGAGGCAGAGCGAAAGAAGGGGGAATCTCCAAAACTACCCTTTCCGGGTTCCCGGAGTTTAATATGCCAAGCTCCTGGAGTTAACGAGCTGACGAAGAGGTGGTCTTTTGCTCTTTATTTGGTTGTTTTGCTAGGCGAGAAAGAGTGTTGGCGGCCTAGTCCCTGTTAAGGGAGCACGTACCAGGGGGTGGGGGACGACAGTGGAGGTCAGGGAAGGAAGGGAGGAATTGCGTGGGAGAAAGAGCGATCCTCTAGTGCCCTTCCAGCCCCTTCTCCTCATCCGTGGGTCTGTGGCTTTGGAATGGAAGCAAGTTTGCAAGGTGCCCCGGGAAGGGTTGGAAAAGCCTGCTGCCCCGCGTTTGTTTTACATTAAGTGTTTTTGGACCTGGAGAAACGCCTGGCTGAGTGATCAAACCGTCCGCAGGTCTCCATGCGTTCGGCTGAGGTTTGTGGCGTAGCTCCGAGTCCCAGCTCGCAGGCCAGAGCAGACCAGGTCTCCTGCGCTTGGTGGAGACCCGGGCCAGTAACTGAAAGCTGGCCCTGGTATCTTGGTGTGCAGGGCGGTGCAGTGAAGCGAGGCCAGGGTGTGTGAGTGCGCTAGCGTGTGTGTCGGGGGAAGGCGGGGGTTGGCCTCCGATGGAAGTTTTAGTAATCTGCACTGTGGCATCTGTTTGCTCCCTTGCCCCAACCGCCCCCAGGTTTGGTTCAAGAATCGTCGGGCCAAATGGAGAAAGAGGGAGCGCAACCAGCAGGCCGAGCTATGCAAGAATGGCTTCGGGCCGCAGTTCAATGGGCTCATGCAGCCCTACGACGACATGTACCCAGGCTATTCCTACAACAACTGGGCCGCCAAGGGCCTTACATCCGCCTCCCTATCCACCAAGAGCTTCCCCTTCTTCAACTCTATGAACGTCAACCCCCTGTCATCACAGAGCATGTTTTCCCCACCCAACTCTATCTCGTCCATGAGCATGTCGTCCAGCATGGTGCCCTCAGCAGTGACAGGCGTCCCGGGCTCCAGTCTCAACAGCCTGAATAACTTGAACAACCTGAGTAGCCCGTCGCTGAATTCCGCGGTGCCGACGCCTGCCTGTCCTTACGCGCCGCCGACTCCTCCGTATGTTTATAGGGACACGTGTAACTCGAGCCTGGCCAGCCTGAGACTGAAAGCAAAGCAGCACTCCAGCTTCGGCTACGCCAGCGTGCAGAACCCGGCCTCCAACCTGAGTGCTTGCCAGTATGCAGTGGACCGGCCCGTGTGAGCCGCACCCACAGCGCCGGGATCCTAGGACCTTGCCGGATGGGGCAACTCCGCCCTTGAAAGACTGGGAATTATGCTAGAAGGTCGTGGGCACTAAAGAAAGGGAGAGAAAGAGAAGCTATATAGAGAAAAGGAAACCACTGAATCAAAGAGAGAGCTCCTTTGATTTCAAAGGGATGTCCTCAGTGTCTGACATCTTTCACTACAAGTATTTCTAACAGTTGCAAGGACACATACACAAACAAATGTTTGACTGGATATGACATTTTAACATTACTATAAGCTTGTTATTTTTTAAGTTTAGCATTGTTAACATTTAAATGACTGAAAGGATGTATATATATCGAAATGTCAAATTAATTTTATAAAAGCAGTTGTTAGTAATATCACAACAGTGTTTTTAAAGGTTAGGCTTTAAAATAAAGCATGTTATACAGAAGCGATTAGGATTTTTCGCTTGCGAGCAAGGGAGTGTATATACTAAATGCCACACTGTATGTTTCTAACATATTATTATTATTATAAAAAATGTGTGAATATCAGTTTTAGAATAGTTTCTCTGGTGGATGCAATGATGTTTCTGAAACTGCTATGTACAACCTACCCTGTGTATAACATTTCGTACAATATTATTGTTTTACTTTTCAGCAAATATGAAACAAATGTGTTTTATTTCATGGGAGTAAAATATACTGCATACAAATTGGTCTGGATTCTTTCTCCCCTCCTCTGTCACTAACTTGGCCAGGACATCTCAGTCACTGCTTCCTAAACAAACCAGTTCCCTCTGCCTGCCTAGTTAAACATACAAGGCAGCAGTCCTTATTTAAATTTGGTAGAAATAAATGATAGCCATTCATCAGAAACTAAAAAGAAAAAAAAAGGCATTCCCGGGGGGGAAAAGGGCTACAAAATCTAATTTTGTCTCTCCAATTTTTCTTTGGCTTAAACCTAGAGGATTCCATTATGGCTAGCAAATAATATGAAAAAGAAAAAAGAAGAAAGAAATTTAGCAAGTCCATCAGCTTAAAATGACTCTCAAGTTTACTCCTTTACGGGGAAACCTACACCTCTAGCAAATTGTTCTGGAGAAATATTTGTGCATGTATACATGTATAGTTTATATGCATTTCTCTCAGGAGGAATACATCTATAATAAATTTACAGGGAAACATCTCCAGTTCAAAATATTTAGGCTTCCACGTTTATCTTCAGGCTTAAGTAGAGAGATCCTTCATGTTATATTGCATTACTATTTCCAAATCCTTTGGAGACATTAAAAGAAACAAAGATGATTTCTAATAACTACAGCCCTTCAGTTTCTCAAAGAACTCAGGGGTTGAGAGGTTAGAGTGGAGTTTCCTGAGTCTTGTCGAGCAATATGTAGTTGAGGCAAAGGTCATGCTCCCGGTGTTTTGTTTTAAATAATATTGACCCATTAATTCTAAACCTGCTTGTTCCTGAAATTATACAGGATTATAGTTTGCAAACTGCAGGACAATGAAGCAAATCAAGATGAATTACAGCCCTGGCCCTCCCTGCCATCCTCTGACATCTAAACAGGGAATGAGTTCGGTGTGAGTGTTTAAATGAACTTTAAGCACCCGATCCTTCTTTATCCGCGATTTTCAGCTTTAAAAAAATGTGAAATTTGATTTCATAACAAATAGAAACAAATACCACTTAGTCCCAGAGAATTCATCCTCATGGCGCTAGGAGGGTCGTTGTGGAGGTGGGGGGAGGGATGTGCTGAGATCTTTTGTTATGCTTGTCAACCCCCCGCACAACCAAAGTGGGCGAGAACAAACACCACGCTGGGGAACTTAGAGCAAAAAGTAACCGCCGATTTTCTGGAGCCGACAATATCATTGTTTTTTCGCCTTAGTTGCTTTCATCTGAATGAAACTTTACCTAGAAGCTTTTGGAGCTCGAACACTGAGTCTTTGTTCTGCAAGAAACTGCTGCTGCCACTTAAAGAGATCGCAGATAATGTCCCCGATTTAAGATCAGTGCTCAACGCACACTTTCTTTCTTTTTAAAGCTCTGCCTCCGACTTGCGGAGGGATCACGCAGCAGTGGGGGGCAGATAAAAGCCCTTTGGACGAGGGTCACCTCCCACCATGTTGTTCACTTGAGAGCAGTGGAGAGGAAAACGGTCCCCACGGGCGGACTTTGGCTTCTGGAGCCGCAGGGCCCAGCGGTCCCGGCCTCTCCGCCTCTCAGCCTGGTAGGGGGCGGGGAGGGCCAAAGGGCGGAGGGGAAGGAAGGAGCTAGAAGAGGGGATTTGGGGATGGGGGCTGGAAGCGCTAACGAGACCTGCCCGGAGGATTTAGGTCTCCTGCAGGTTGGTGAGTGATTTGGGAGCTCTGGGTAAAAGAGGTGTACCTCGGCCTAGTTTGGTTGCTGAACTAGAACAACGCGAGGACATCAATCAATCTGCAGGAAACAAAAAATGGAAGTCGAGGTTTAGGAAGAGTTGTCACTTCCCCGACTTGAGTGGTGCAGGCTGGGGGCGGAGACTTGGGACCTAAGAGAGGCCATTTCTCTCACCTCAGCTCCCTTCCCTTGGACTTCCAAAAGGAATAATTTTACTCTCTCCTCCGTTCTCCCCACAACTCTCATCCCCGCTAGCCCGCAGGCCGCCTGCCCCTTTCCGCACCTCCTTTTCCCATCCAGCGAGAGAAACCTAGCTCCCAGAGCCGGTGCAGTCAGTCCCCTCGCCCCTCCCGCCCCTGCACGGGTCCCCCTCTAGCCGTCGCTGCAACCACCACCTCGGTTCCACTCAACCGATTTTTGCTGCATGTCAACACTTATTACCGGTGAGTGTGAGGGTATTTTTTCTCCTTCTCTAGGTCTCTTAATGATTTCTGAGCTAGTTGTGTATTAAAGTGCTTAAAGGAACCTTTAACATAATCTATAGCATGAGCACCAACCTTCCCCGCTTGGGTTCAAAAATGGCGAGCTCGAGGTTGGGCCCGGAGGCGCCCAGGCCTCACTGGCCTCAGCGCACTGCCGCCGTGCTCCTTGAGCGCTCAGAGGTTCGCCAGGCCTGGGGCAGGAACCCCGCGCAGACGATCCGCCGTCTGGGGGCTTTCTCCCCGCCACCCCCTTCCATCCCTCACCTGTTACTAGCAGGCACCTTTTCTTCTCTCGGTATCTTTGGCCTATCCTCGGGTTTTGTTTTATTAAAAAAAAAAAAAAAAAGTAAACCTCTTTAAAAATTTCCAAGGCCCCAAAGTCTTCATTCCGCTAATACCGATTTCAGATTAGTGGAGACCTGGGAAAAGGTGTATACAGCCCATGATTGTCTCTCCTTCCTCCCAATTCCTAAATCTGAGTTTTAGTGTTTACGACTTGGTTAGAAATTTAATTTTTAAAAACATGTTGGAGAGCCTGGGCCGAGTAAGTAGTTTGATTAGAAGGCAAATTCTCTTCGCCTCCTTGCCCTGCTTTTTCCCTCACCCCCACCCCCTTTCTATTAGATGCTGAAGCCGGGGGGTGTAGGGGTGGGGGTTAGGAGTGTAACAAAAAAATTAATGGGACAATATAAACAGCGTCTTAAAAGTCCTAATATTCCTCGAAAGCCGTATAAATTAACCCTGTGAAGAGTGAGCCCTTTTAAGGCGAGTCTATAAAAATCCAGCGTGATCTCGAAGGAGGACGACCCTTCCCCCAATCCCTGTCGCGAATGTGACCAAACAAAGGTCTGTCCTGCAATCCACATCCTAATCCACGGATGCCCCCGCCGCCGTCGCCGGGACTCCCCAGCCTCCAGCCGCCCTTAGTGGACGGAGCTACCCTGGGAGTCCCTGGCTCCGCGACTTAACTTTTTTAGAGAGGGGGAAAAAAGGAGGGGGTGTAATTAGATCAGAGGCCTTTATGAATATAGACTCCCTATTGATTGATTTATAAACCCCCTGAGGAACTGCAGTTAATCTAAGCACACCGGGAAGCAAGAAACGTGGTTGACTGAAGAAGTCTGGAAGTAAACGAGAGGAATTTCTGGTAGCAGATTTTCAGAAGGAATTTTTTTAAAAATAGCTTTTCTTCCCCAGGTTCCCAAACATTTCATTAACTGAACTTGAGAAAATGGTAATTCGAGTTTTTTTTTTTAAGGGGGTTAAGTAGAAACACCATTGTAAACACGTAACTGATTTACCTTTTCAGGTTCTAGCAGATGAACCCAGGGAAATTTTACTCTAATCTTAAAAATTTATCACACTTGGCCCCTCCCACCCTTCCCTGCCCCCTCCCCAAAGGGAGGACTTCCCATTGTTGACTGTCTATCTGAAAAGATAGAAAGCAGAATTTACTGTGTTTGGGATGCATAACTTCATTCACTTCTGTGCTGAGTATTTTATGCATTTTTAAAATGTAAATGTTGATTTTAGATTTTTTTGAAGAGTAGAGAATCCTGCAAGAAATGAAATACCCCCTGAAGATATATTTAATTATACTTAATTACCTTTAAAAGTCATTTCTACTCCTTTTGTAACAATACATTTCTACAGTTCAGTGGTAGTTGTGGAAAACAGGAGCTATTTGAAGCTTAAGTTACTCTGCAGAAGAATGGCTATAAGAGCCATCTAAATTCCTTACAATTAAAAAAATTCAAAAACATGTAATGACTACATGGTAAAAGTGTTTACTTTTTGGTGGTAGTGAGAGGTGCTTTTTAAATTTCCTTCCTTCAGAAGGACTAAGAGAAGTTCAGACTCACTGGGCTCTCCCTGGGCAGGGTGTGTGTCTGCACCCTGGGACTTTGATGGATCTTTCCAGACCTAGTTCTTCTAGTCTTACGGCAAAAAATGTTTAAGGTGTTTGCCCTCCCTCGTGCTCTTTTTCTCCTCCATCCTCTCCCTCTCCTGTTTTCTTTGTCCACAGCCAAGGTTTGGTTTGGTTTGGTTTGGTTTGGTTTGGTTTGGTTTGGTTTGGTTTTTCCTCCATTCATGCAACTGAGGAAATGGCCCGCTGATGCTGGGACCTGACGTACCCACACTAAGGCATGAGGGTGGATTCCTCACAGCCCGGAGACTGCCTCTGCCAATGCTTCCTCTCTCCAGAAACAGCAAAGCCTCTCTGCCTCCGCTGAGAGTTTGCAGCAGTGCGGGACCCCCTCGCACACAGTCCTGGGCAGGAACTTTTATCCTCGTCGCTCTGGAAAGATGAGACCTAGAACCACCACTGCTGTCCCCCAGAAAGCGGTGGGCAGCTTATTGAATGTGACTTGGGACCCATACCAGTGGCAGCCCAATTCTTGGGCGCGTTTCCCCGCTCTGCCTGTGTCAACAGCCCTCGAAACTGCTTCTGCTTCTCTGGGCAGGTATCACGGGGAGTGTGCGTGGGGAACGGCTTGCTGCACCCAATAGAACTTCATGGCATCTTTCTATGTCCTCCCGGATCGAATGCAGGGCCTTCTCGGCGTCTCTTCAGAGGGTGCCTGCATTTGGTTGCCCACGAGTCTCCCCGACAGCTTCACCCCGCTGTGTGTGGGCTCGGGGGATGGAGGTGGGGAGCCGAAGGGAGAAAGAGGACACCAAAGTGGACAGAGGTGGAGACCCTGCAAGCCATCCCCAGAGCTAAGAAATGGGCTTTGCCTGTCAGAGCCTAAGGTTGCAGACTACGGATCACTTTGTTAGAAAATAAATAATATCAAGCAAAGTAGAGTAAAATAGAACCCTTCTTCTGTGGGTGCTAGGCCTCGGGCGATGTTCATTCACAGGACACTCCTGACGTCAGTTTCTCCAGCTACCTCTTGAAATCCGTGACATCGAAGGAGACGTTCTTATCTGATGAGGCGGTGTCTTGTTTATCTGTTTCTCCGAACACGAGAGAAAAAAAAGATGAATCTCTTGCGAATGCTGAGCTGCAGCTCTGGGCTACAGCTTCCCGGCGCGAAGTTCCCCGTCCCGGATCCTCCTTCCTCTGGGTGGCCGGGCCATCTTGTCAACCGCCATGCGCCAGGGGATGGATGTTTGGACAGGTGACCAGGACCTTTTGGACCCATGAATTCCGTGGGTACCACGCAGCCCATCCCTTAGAACGACCCGAGGTGCAGCCGCTCCACCTGAACGTGCCCCCGGGGCGGCTTTTCCTAGGACTTCATTGGCCGTCTAAACCGGGTTTTGGGTACAACCTCGCCCTACCGCTTTCCATTGACTGAAACAGCTGCTTTATCTTAATGTTCAGTTTTTGGCCAATGACATGGGGAAAGGGCGGTGGTGGTAAGACTTACTGCCTGTCTCCCTTTACCCTGACGGTATTTTCAGAGGCACTAGGAGAAGCGGGAACCCGGAGGGCCACCTACGCACCTCCGGGGTCGCCCTCTTGGCCCGGGCACTAGAAGTTTGCACGTCCCTCCGGCCAAAAAAAAAAGGAATCTAATCTGCAGCTGCCGCCGCACCCCCACTTCCCGCCCGCATCCCTAGCCCGAAGTCTCAGGCAGGGCATCGCAGCCCACACGCTCGAGCTGCACCGACCGCCCGCGGGGTCCAGCTGGGGCGAAGCAGGGGCCCTAGAGCCTGCGCTCGGCACGCCCCCGCACGCGCCGCTGCTCCGGGCCTGGCGGGCCTCCTCGTGGGCGGTCTGGGCTCAGCCCTGGCGCGGCCTTGCTGCTGCGCCTCCAAAGATCGCGCACCAGTCTGGCCCACAGATGTGACCACTTCTTTGCCCTTTTCTAGTCCACCCAGGGAGTCCAGGGCCGGAGGAGCCCCCCGCCACATCCCTTCTCACCCTTTCTCGGGCCTCCGCGCCTTCACTCCCGAGCAGCCATATACCTTGAATGGGTCATGCCTGCCTGCCTCCTTGGAGCTGCCTCTCGAGGCCCGGGGGTTGAACATTAACCAGCTGCGGGAATAGACTGGGGTAAAACGTTACGTATAAAAATGAATCATCTATCCGGTCCTGGGAGAGAGGACCTATAGAGAGTTCTGCACCTAGAGCAGCCCCAGCCTTGCCCCTGGCCCAAAGTACCGAATCTTCTGGAGGCCACTTATCAAGGACCGTTCAGCCGCAGGAAGCGGAGGACAAATGAGGGACTGGAGGAAGGGGGGTGACTGAGTCAACCGTTCTCCTTGCGGAGTTTGAGGTTCAGGGCTTCTAACACAAGAGAATTTCCTTTTCTTTCACACTTGAGAACGTGTGAACAGCTTTTCATCTCTTATAAAAGTTAGTGGGGGAAAGCTGGAGTCTAGGAGGAGCGGCTGTCCACAGGGCCGAGAAAGGTCGCTCTGCTGCCATCCCTGGCGCCCGGGGTGGGATCCCAGGAGGCAGGGCTCAGTGGGTTGGGAGTGGCAGCAAGAGCCCCGGACCAGGGCCTGGGGACGAAGGGGAGGCGCGCGGTGGGCGGTGCAACCGGCGCCCGACCTGGCCCTCGGACCTGAGACCTCGCAGAAGTCCTGGCTTGAGGTCGCGCTGAAGTCCTAGGCTCCTATCCGATCCCACCCACAACTGGTCTGGACCCTGCCTCCTTCCGACTCTGACCTATTTGTTTTTTCTTTACACATAAGTAATGGAAAGTAAAATGATACGTCTGCACTGACTTATGTGCTAGGCCCACGTGCCCAGTCAAAATATACAGAATTTACCAAAAGATAACAGAGCTGAAGGAAGAATTCAAGACAGTGCACATCCTAAGTTCCTGTGCCCTCACCTGGAAACATTACTGACTCAGGCACTGAGCAAATTCCTGAATAGGAAGATGATTCTGTTTCTGTATCTCTGTCTCTCTCCCTCTGCCTAACCTCTGTTCCCCCCGTCCCCCGCCCCCATTGAAGAAAAATCTGAGATAAGGTGGGTGCAAGCAAAAGGGAGATGTGATATTATTAGGGCTTTCAGGAATTGCCAGCCAACCTGCAGAGCAATTCCTGTACCTCTTAAGAAGATTCTTTTTTTCTTATACAAAATAGTTTTATTTAAATGCATGCCTGACTCATTATAACCTCTTAGTGTGTGTGTATCTGTATATATATATACACACACTATATATATATATATATATATATATATTTTGAACAGATGGCACACTCCGCCTCAACCTGGACCCTACCTCTGACTTGTTTATTGGAACAGAAGTTTTGCTGAGAGCATTCACTCAAATCTCTATACTTAGGGGTGTGAGAAAGTGGCTGTGCTGGTGTGCATGTCTGCTGAGAACGCTGCATCGTTGCATTACTCTCAAGGTCACATCCTAGCTTCTTCAAAGGCCACTGCTCCTGCTTCAGTGTGTTCACAGCCTGTATAGTGATCCTGAGAATTTCTGGCAGGGGATGGAGGGTGGCAGCGGAGACATGCAGTAAACAAGGCTTTCCAGAGTCTCAGCAGGCATCAACAATGTGACAAGTGCTGTGTATGTGTATTAATTGGACATCACCAATCAGTTCGTTCTCAGAGAAAATGGCTTTCTGTTTAAGATGTGGTTACAGAGTGTTCATCACTTCATGTAGTGTCGCTGCTCTAACTGCAGTGCACACAATGCTCTATGTCATTCCTACAGAGCAATACAGATCAACTTCGTCAGCACCCAACTTTATGTTATTCCACTCTCCCAAGAAAAATAGAATTGACTCAAATGTTCCACTAAGTTAGCTCTAGAGAGACAATGAATGCATCGAAGCAAATAAATACAAAGAAGTATGAATCACACGCTCAGTTGCTTTTCAGTGACTTAGAGACAGAGAAACATAGGTGGAGAAAGGGCATTTACTTTTAAGGGTTTGAGTAGTTGGGGAAAGGAGTATTCTAAAGGGTATTGCAGTGTTCACTCAAACCCTCTTCTCCCCCACCAAATTACCATGTTATCTGACACCCTCGATCTATTTGTGTCCTGGGTAACAGACAGTTTGACCAAGAGGTCACAGACTAGAGGGCTTGGGTGACTGGAAACAAGTTTGACAAGAAAGGAATCTGGGTGGGGTGCCACCATGGAGGTGGAGAGAGGATGAGGCCACAGTGGCTGGAGCAGCCTGGCAACACAAAGTCTCTGCTGGACACCACATTTATACAAAATGCCTTGTCAGAGAATGCTGGATTAGGAATAGCTGTCAACACAGCTTCATGGATGAGAGAAATTGAAGTCTCTCTCCATTCCTTTTCTTTACCTTCCCTTTATTTTCTACCTTCTTCATTTCCTCCTTTTATTATTGCCCTTCTTCTACATCAGGTGACTCTCCCCAGAATTTTGGCTGCTCCTGGATTATGCCCTGCTTATCCTTTCTTTTGAATTAAGGCTTCAGATTGTTTGTAGTGTTCACTTTTCCAGGTATGATACATTATTTTATTCAGTCAAGAGTCTACCTGTAAACCATTTGTACGTATGAATATGGAGTACTTCTATGAACAATACAAGTTTCTGGTAGAATAAGTAAAGCATGCAATATTGTATAGCTTGTCTTTTCAGAGCACAAAAAGGACTGTGCACACTCTTTAATAAAGCCCCACTGCATGCTGGAGAGGCTGGGAGAGTGAGTGAGCAGGCTTCTTTCGCCCAGGCAATATGACCATTGGCATTATGGCCACCAAAGTGGGAAATCTCCAGTTTGCCATTCTCACCTTGAAAGCTCCTCCTCTCCTGAAACTACCATCTGTGGACTCACACACATTGTCAAATTTGTGTGTTCCAAGAAAACACTGAAACAGTTTATAAAGTTGATGTACTAAACTTTACATATCTTTCACACAAATGCATTTGTTTTTCTTGTGTTATATCCTCTTTTTATTGGCTCGGCAGTATTTTAATGTGATTTCTCTTCCTTGTACAGTTGAGAAACACCTTCATTGTCATCCTGCAACTCATTAGATTAGAACTTGGTTGAAACATCTTTTATTCCACAGAAGGGCTGCCCCATTTCACCCTCCTTTGGTTCCTTCTTTTCCTTTCTAACTTCTTCCAAAATCTCACTTAAAGGTTAATTCTAAATCTCATAACTCTCTCCCTTTTTACTTTTTCATTTTATTTCTGAGCAATTATTGTTCCCATACTCCCAAACTAACTTTCATCCATATTACTCCTTTGGCAATTACCATATGGGGTGTTTTATTATGAGTTAAGATTTTGCGGGTCTTTTTTTTTTTTTAGCTTCTTGTGGTGGCCTGGCACAATACCTTGTAACGGAGTAGATGTTCAATAAATGCCTATTGATCAAATGTTACAATTAAAATCTTTGTTCACAAAAATAAAAGTTCAAAAACATTAAAGTCTATTGAATTGGCATAAATTGAATCTCAGATTAATTCTAATTAATTTCTAATCCTTTTCCAAACAAACTAGACATGTAAAAGAATTCTTTAGCAGAAATTCTGTCATAATGTTTTTCAACACTGCCAGCATCTTCCCTACATCAGAGCAGTTTTAGGATGGTGAATCATGATCAGGGTTCATAAGATACTGAACACATTTTAGTATTTCCTAATATATTATTAAAATAAAGAAGTTTTAAAAAATCTAGTTTGGGGAATATGTGTGGTAAGGGGAGTATAAAAGGGTGGGAGACACGTAGATGACAGAAGTTTCCAGCTCACGATTGTCTAGAGTCATTTTACTAGTTAAGGGATTATGATGTCCAATTCTCCCTTACTTTATGCTTTTTAAAATTTCACTGCTCACAATTTGTAGTAAAATATATTGTATCAAAATATATTATGGACAAAGTTTTTTTTAATTCTTAGAGACATAAAAACCTAAGAAATTAAAAATATTGATCCAAAAACAACAAAAAAAGATTTAACCCAGGCTGGGTGTGGTGACTCATGCCTGTAATCCCAGCACTTTGGGAGGCTGAGGTGGGTGGATCACCTGATGTCAGTGGTTTGAGACCAGCCTGGCCAACATGGCAAAACCCCATCTCTATTAAAAATACAAAAATTTAGTGGAAGACAGTGTGGTGATTCCTCAGGGATCTAGAGCTAGAAATACCGTTTGACCCAGCCATCCCATTACTGGGTATATACCCAAAGGAATATAAATCATGCTGCTATAAAGACATATGCACAGGTATGTTTATTGTGGCACTATTCACGATAGTAAAGACTTAGAACCAACCCAAATGTCCAACAATGATAGACTGGATTAAGAAAATGTGGCACATATACACCATGGAATACTATGCAGCCATAAAAAATGATGAGTTAATGTTGTTTGTAGGGACATGGATGGAGCTGGAAACTATCATTCTCAGCAAACTATCGCAAGGACAAAAAACCAAACACCACATGTTCTCACTCATAGGTGGGAATTGAACAATGAGAACACCTGGACACAGGAAGGGGAACATCACACACTGGGGCCTGTTGTGGGGTGGGGGTAGGGGGAAGGGATAGCATTAGGAGATATACCTAATGTAAATGATGAGTTAATGGGTGCAGCACACCAACATGGCACATGTATACATATGTAACAAACCTGCACGTTGTGCACATGTACCCTAGAACTTAAAGTATAATAAATAAATAAATATATATATATATATATATATATATATATAAATAAAAATACAAAAATTAGCCAGGAGTGGTTGTGGGCACCTGTAATCCCAGCTACTTGGGAAGCTGAGGCAGGAGAATTGCTTGAACCTGGGAGGTGGAGTTTGCAGTGAGCCAAGATATTGCCATTGCACTCCAGCCTGGGAAACAGAGAAAGACTCTGTCAAAAAAAAAAAAAAAAAAAAAATACTTAACCCAATCAGACTTTGATTAGGGTCACAGACCAAATAAGTTACAGTTATTTTTATTTCTGCTCATTTTTGTCCAGTAGGCCTCACATATTTTTGATGAATTTCTGGGTGGTAGAATATTCCTTAGAACACTGACCATATCCACTTCTACTTTCCAGCTGTTACCTAAACAACAAACTAGACACACTTCACTGCAAACAGTGGGAAGAATGGTGTTACCTTTGATGAAACATCCATGGAACATTTGGTAACTCTTAATATATACCAAAAAAAAAAAAAGTTTCACCTCATTGTGCTAAATAAATAAATAATACATATATAAACAAACAAATAAATAAAATGATAGGGACTGGAATGGTAGAGAAATTTTAATGAATTTTGATGCAGTGGGTTTTGCAATGCCTGCAGAACTTTCAAAGACCCCAGTCTCTAGTGGAAAACCACTAGTCCTGGTCAGCACTGCAGGGAAGGGTAGATGGCTGGAGATTCCAGAAACCAAGGGGGAAGATGACTGGGAACTCACAAAAAGGTAACAGATTTGACACATTATCTTTGGTTGTCTCAGTCACTATAATTTTAAAAATTATCTACACTCTCATAAAGCAATGGGTCAATATTATTTTCACAGTACTCTTTTTTTTTTTTTTTTTTTGAGACAGAGCTTCGCTCTTGTTGCCCAGGCTGGAGTGCAATGGCATGATCTCTGCTCACCGCAACCTCCGCCTCCCAGGTTCAAGCAATTCTCATGCCTCAGCCTCCCAAATAGCTGGGATTACAGGCATGTACCACCACTCCCGGCTAATTTTGTATTTTTAGTAGAAACAGGATTTCTCCATGTTGAGTCTGGTCTTGAACTCCTGACCTCAGGGGATCCGCCTGCCTCGGCTTCCCAAAGTGCTAGGATTACAGGCGTGAGCCACCGCACCCAGGCTTTCACAGTACTCTTAACATTTTTTACCTTTATTTTATTCATAACCATCTCTAAATATAACAATATACAGTGATGCAGAAGATAGTTTGTTGAGTACTTTCTATGAGCCAGGAACTGCGCCAGTGCCTTTGATATGTTAATATTATCTCAATCAGTTCTCACAGCAATCCTATAAAGTAGATAATATTATTTCCTTATTTGACAGATAAGAAAACTGATTCTCAGAAGTAACTTGCCTCAGGCTGCCTGAGTAATGAGTGTCAGAGTCAAAACTAGAATAGGACTCAAGTTAGGCACAATATGACAGGACCAAAGAACTGCTAGTCTTCTGTATCACTTTCTGCTGATGTGATTAGAAAATATTACTTATAAATTAAAAGTGTTATGAAAATAGTATTTCCTAGTTATCTTATGAGTAGTGATTGAAAAAGATAGAGATTATAGTAACTGAGCCAATCAAAGGTAAAGATGTTTTACTCTTTCACGTGTGTTTCAGTGCACATTTCCTACACTAAAGCAATGGACAACTTGTCAAGGCAGTTTGACATGTGACATTTTAGACATGATAGGAAAAGCAGCCAACTTGCTGATATTAAGGAAAGGATATATACACACACACATATGTATACACATACCTCCTTTATATATATACACATATAAATACAAAAATATACACATATATACGTATGTATGTTTGTGTATATATACATATATATACATACACACATATCAGTTGGCATAAGATCAAGTGATTTTTTTCCTTGGTCTTGTACATTATGACCTGTTCACTCCTTTCTTGCTTCTCTCCACCCCCATTGACCCTTTTTGAGGCTAACTTCAGATCTCAGCTTAGATGTCCCTACTTTGAGAAAGGCCTCCCTGACACTCTGGCATTAGGTTAGGTCAACGTGCCCCTCCTGTGTGTTTCCATGACCATATCAAAGCACCTAACACACTTTTATGAACTTAACACGTTTGAAGATTAGAGATCAGTAATTTTATAGCATCTCACAGCTTGCCCTTTGAGCTATTTTTGCATGATTAGATTCAGATTATATATTTTTTATGATATTCAGGATATCATAGTGCTGCAATGTTCTTACTGCGTCATATCAGGAGGCACACATAGTGATTTTTCAATACTTGATTATGTTAATTCATTACTTAAGGTGGTATCTGCTTCATTACTTTAATGTTTAAAAGTTATTTATTTGCTTCTCTATTAACATTATGCTTTTTCCATTGTAATTAGCATTTCATGAGCAGCTTTATGGTGAGAAATTGAAACCTCCTGCCAACAGCCATGTGAGTGAGCTTGGAAGCAGATTCTCCAGCTCTTCAAATAATGGCAGCCCCAGAAAACAACTTAAATGCAACCTCCTGAGAGTCTCTGAGCTAGAACTACCTAGCTAAACTGCTGTGAGATTCTTCAACCTCAAAACTGGGATGAGATAACAAATATTTATTGTTTTAAGGTGCTAAATTTTGGGGTAATCTGTTGCTTTGTAATAGTTAATACACCACCTACATTCTATATTCCCAAATTTTTCATCACTTTTCATCTATTATGGTCTCTCTCCTCCTCTGCACTTGGGGATTTATTTATTTTTTCTTTTCTGTTGCCACTTTCATAGCACTCTGGGGAAAACAGAGAGAAACAAATGTAGTCAATTCACCAAATTTTACCTGAAGTCCAAGGAAGTAAATATTAAGTGCAGATTTGGAGGAAGGAAGGGATAGGACTTGGTGATGCTGTGTAAGAAAAGCATTTGCGCCAGAAGAAAGATGAGATAAACACTAGAAGGCAAAGAAAAACATTTTATGGAAAATCGAAAGCAACTGAAAAAGACATCTTTATTTCACATTTAGTAAATATAGTTATGGTTTTTAAAAATATAATCTTAGAAACACTTATTTTGTCTGCCCAGCTCCTCCCCCCTTTCTGGAAACAGAACTGTCCTCTTTGGGGGGAACCCGTTCTTCTCTTTATTTGTGCTATATTGTTCTAATGGATGCTGCCAATTCTAGAACTGATCTCTTGTGTCCACAAGAGTAGGCACGTGAGCTTGGCTGCCTTTTGTGTCCTTCCACAGGAATCTTCAAATGATAATTTTGAAAAGAGAAGCAGTCCTTTTCATGATGAAGAGATGAGTTGTCAAAAGCCCAGGTTCTCCAGGGCAGAAGATTTCAGTCTCTGGTAACACAGACTCAGAGAGAAGCACGGATGAGAGTTGGAGGGAGAGAGAGTCCTGCTGTCTCTCCTGTCTGTTACTATGATCCTGGAGGTCCAGTTAAATGCCCTTCCTGAGATTTTGCTACTCTGGTCAGCATATTTCCTGTTTTGCCTAAAGTGGTTCAAATTGGGTTTCTGTCACTTGGAAAAGACTTCCTGATTCAGTAGACTAGTGTTCCCTCCCTCCCCCATAAATAATCTCTCCCCCAGAGAGCAAATAAAGTGCCTTTGAAGTCAGGATTTGGGATAGTCTTTTGGAATCCTCAGATGTTCATGTGTAAGTAGAAAAATTTCATCTTCTAGTGGCCCTCTACAAACACTGCCTGGGAATTATTGAGGGGGTGAGGAAGGAGAGTTGTGTATACACACCCACACCTGTTAAGCTTTTTCGCCAACACAATAATATTTATTGGAGATCTATTATGTTTCAGGCACTTTCATAAACAGCTGCTCTACATTAGTCCAAGACACTAGATTTTCACACTGTTCCTAATTATAGATGAGATGATATCTTTAAAATAAAAGATGTTAAATATTAGTCTTTACAAAATGTAAACGTTATGAGTAAAGATTAGGTGCACCTTTCCATACCTTCTCCAGGTTTAACCTACCACTATTTGGATGTCTCTTTTGCTTTTATAAGTTTATCCCCCAAAAATGTAATGGAATTTCAAATATAAATTGCTTGAATGACTTGTTTCTAAAGACAATTTTGAGAAAGATGATTAAAAATAAACAAAAAAATTGAAACAAACTATAACTAAATAGCGTGACTTGCCTTGAAATTCTAGCTTTATTCATATAAGTTTGTGTCCCCACAAGAAGCAGACTCAAAACAAGTCAGCCTAAATCTATGTAAACAGATTTAGGTTAGGGAGAGTGGTGATGTTAAGGGCATTAATTCCAGCTTTGGTTATTACTTTGAAACTTGGACAAACAGTGTTTGTCCAGTAATTTCTCATGTACTTTTTCCCCTCTTAGTCTTCCTGGGGGAAATGGTTACAGTAGCCTAGAGCACTCCTCTGAAGAGATATCCACACTGGCAAAGGTACCAACTTTTCACTTTCGCAGTGGGTGGTCCGGCACAAAAATTCCCCAATGGCTGAGAATCTGAAGCCTGCCCAGGCCTCCCATAAACTTCAGTATTTAAACATTTTTATATGTAATTTAAGATGTGAACTATTAGAACTAACAGTAGGTAATTGGCTTTTTCCAGTTTTCCCATTAGAAAATATTAAGGAATTCCCAGCATATTCTGTTGTTAAGACGATGACACAGTCTGTGTCAAAAATTAAATTTCTTCCCACTCACTTAAAAAAAAGCAACATCTTATTTCCTTACTCTACTCTGCCATTTCTATCCTCTCTGTTATATCTAAGATTTTTCTTAATTGTTAAATACAAGTGCATATTTAAGATGTATCAAAATTAATAATATGTTTTTGTTTTCTAAATTGTTTAATAAAAAGTTGTTGAGCACTATTACAAGGCTCTGTGCTAGGCACAATAGAGGATAAGAAAATAATTATTTATTAAGGTAAGTGTTTTGGCAAAGTGTGGTGGCTCACACCTGTAAATCCAGCACTTGGGGAGGCTGAGGCAGGCGGATCGCTTGAGCCCAGGAGGTCAAGACCAACCTGGACAACATGGCAAAACTGAATCTCTACAAAAATTAGCAAGGCATGGTGGTGCATTCCTTACTCTGGAGGCTGAGGTGGGAGGATCACATGAGCCTGGGATGTCAAGTCTTCAGTGAACTGTGATCACGCCATTGCACTCCAGCCTGGGCGACAGAGCAAAACACTGTCTCAAAAAAAAAAAAAGTGTTTTGTACCTAATTTATATCTCATTTAATTCTGACAACAAATCTATGAAATAGGCATTGTTATTCCCATTTTACCAATGAGGAACTTAAGGTACCAAGAGATTAATTAATTTGTCCAAGATCATTCAGTTAGTAACTGGTAAAATTGAATTTAAATCTGGGATCATTTGACCTCTAAAGGTTTTTCTCTTAACCACACTATACTGTGCTCCTACCCAGCACCCCCAAACCAATGTATAATACTTAGCCAACTCATTTCATGATGATTCCAACTCAGGAAGAACCACTTTTAAGTAAGGCAGATGTGTTAACTACTATGCATAGAATGATAACCTGTGCTCTCAGGATGCTTAAAATACACAAGAAGAGATAAATCGTGTAGGCAAATAACTGAAATTTATGTTAGAATTCAGTGAATACCTTAGGAGTGGTACAAAGTATGATAGACTTTCAGAAAGGATTGAGAATACTTCTAGCTGGGAGGATCAAGGCATCATGTTTGAGATTTCTTTTGATTTTGGCTTTGAAAGATGGGCAGGGTTTTATTTTTTATTTTTATTTTTTTTGAGATAGAGTCTCGCTCTGTCTCCCAGGCTGGAGTGCAGTGGCACCATCTAGGCTCACTGCAACCTCCGCCTCCTGGGTTCACGCCATTCTCCTGCCTCAGCCTCCCGAGTAGCTGGGACTACAGGCACCCGCCACCATGCCCAGCTAATTTTTGTATTTTTAGTAGAGACGGAGTTTCACCATGTTAGCCAGGATGGTCACGATCTCCTGACCTCTTGCTCTGCCTGCCTCGGTCTCCCAAAGTGCTGGGATTACAGGCATGAGCCACCATGCCCGGCCAGGCAGGGTTTTAATAAAAGCATCAGAAAATCATTTCAGGCAGAGTAAAAAGCATAGTAAAGTCTTGATAATAGGCCTGGCACAGTGGTTCACTCCTATAATCCTAGCACTTTGGGAGGCTGAGGTGGAAAGATCACTTGAGCCCAGGAGTTTGAGACCAGCCTGGGCAACGTGGTGAAACTCCGTCTCTACAAAAAATACAAAAATTAGCTGGGTGTGTTGGTGTGCCTCCAATCCCAGCTACTCTGGAGACTGAGGTGAGAGGATCACTTGAGCCTGGGAGGCGGAGATTGCAGTGAACCGAGATCACAACAGTGCACTCCAGCCTGGGCAACAGAGTGAGACCCTGTCTCAAACAAAAAAAGAAGAAAAGAAAAAAAATGAAGACTTGATGGTAGATGTGGGATGAGTTTGGTGAACCAAGAATAATCCAGTGTGAAGTAATAGTGGAAGATAAGTCTGGAACGCTAAACTGTGACTAGAATGTGGCAGACATAGAAAACTAGGCTAAGAAGTTTAGAGTTTATTGTGTAGGCAGTGAGGAGATGGGATTTCCATTGGGGTTTCTGAGCAGTGAATAAATGGAAAGAGGCTGTGCTTTAGTGAGTTAATGGGGCAAGAATATGTGGCCAGATGAACTGCAACAAGAAGTAAACTAAAGGGTTTAAACTGGGATTATGGTAGAGAAAAAAAGAAGACAAAGCTGAGGAAGACCACCAAATAATGGATGAGAGGGTTTAGAGAAAGAACAAGTAACTTCAAGTTTTTGAATTTATGTGACTGACTGAATGTTATTAACAAAACTCAGAAATGCTATTTATTTGAAGAGGAGTTTCTTAAGTTGGATGAACAAGAAAGGGAATCACTCATGGCAAGGCAGCTATAAAAGAAATAAAGTTTTGGAATTCCAGCATCAGGAAGCCCAGACGTTTGGTAAAGAATGAAACAATCAACATGTTCATCTAAGATTGACCTTACTGAGAGATCAAGAAATGACAATTGTTATGGTTTGCAAGGCAGCCAGAAGCTTGCCTCAAACTTTTCATTTATTTGTCAACTTTATCAGGAAATCTACACCATTAGATAGTCTATTATAGATTAAGGCATTGACAACAAATGTTCCCTAAATTTTATTAGAATGTCCAACTTCTTCCTTATCAGAATTAGTCAAAGTTTGATTGTATAGTTGGAGATTTAAAAATACTCTCAGTTTGGAACACTGGGGGGCATTTTTAGGGTGCCAAGGGAAGGTTCCCTGGGGAAGGAGGAATTGGATACTGACATGGTTTGGCTGTGTCCCCACCCAGATCTCATCTTGAATTCCAACGTATTGTGGGAAGGACTTGGTAGGAGGTAACTGAATCATGGGGGCAATTCTTTCCAATGCTGTTCTCATGATAGTGAATAAGTCTCATGAGATCTGATGGTTTTAAAAAGAGGAGTTTCCCTGCACAAGCTCTTTCTCTCTTTGCCTGCTGCCATCCATGTAAGACGTGACTTGTTCCTCCTTACCTTCTGCCTTGATTGTGAGACCTCCCCAGCAACGTGGAACTGTAAGTCCATTAAACCTCCTTCTTTTGTAAATTACCCAGTGTTGGGTATGTCTGTATCAGCAGTGTGAAAACTGACTAATACAGATACCAAGAGACTTCAGGGCATAATCTGTCAATAACTGATTAACAAGTTCATCAATTAAGAAATATTTGTTAATGATCTACTGGAAATAAGGCACCTTGCTAAATCTAAGGGGAGAAAACAACAACATTGTCTGTATTCTTGATGACTTTATCCTACCTCATAATTTTGCCAGAGGCTAGTATTTTGTGTACAACTCTAGCAATTCGATTATAAGTTTCAGTTTTCCAAATTAGAAAATTTAGAACTTATAATCTTTAGTACTCACTTCTTAAGGTTTTTGTCAGTATAATTAATCCAGCCTTTAAAAAAATATATTAGAGTTCCTGGTGAACCTGGAGTTGCCCACTGCTTAGTATACTATATTATCATAGTGCATGGGGGAACTGGACTCCTATTTATATCTAACAAAAAAAAGTGAATTTAGTGTGTGTGTCATTTCTATAATAGTGCAGGTAAAGATATATGTACTTATTTTATGAACTTTGTAAGTGTATGTAGGCCTGGAGACACAAGTGTTTAGCAACATTTTTATTAATAAGTTGGATTTCAAAAATTTTATAACTTAGCATGCTTAATAATTCAAAGCTCAAGAGTGTTGTTGATATGACAGAAGTAAAATTCAAAAAAATCTGAAGAGGTTGAAATACAGAACTAAAACTACAATAAAAACTTAATGATACATAGGGGTACAGTTTAGGTTTCAAAAAATCAATTAATACCTAAAGGGATGAAGTATCTCAAAATTAAATTATTAGAGACTTCAGTGAATATGGTAGCCAGCCTCCACAATGGCCTCAATGATTCCAGGCTCCTATAATTAACGTTCTCCTGCAATGTCATGCCCCACCCCCCCTTCAATGAATGAAGTTTCCCTATGTAGCTAATAGAATATTGTGGAAATAACGATGTGTGCCATTCAAGGATAGCACATAAAATATACAGCAACTTTTGCCTTGCTTTCTTTTTGATCACTGTCTCTGGAGGTAGCTGCCATGTTATGAGGACACACAGACAGCCCTAAGGAGATGTCCATGTGGTAAGGAACTGAGGCTGTCTGTCAACAGCCAGCATGAACTTAACAGCCATGTGAGGGAGCATCTTGGAAGCAGAATTTACAGCCATGGTCAAATTTTTTGATGCTGCAATTTCAGCCAATATCTTGAATTCAACCTCATGAGACACCCTGAACCATTTAGCTAAGCAGCTGTCAAATTCAGGAATGAGATAATAAGTCATTATTGTTGTTTTGAGTCATCAAGTTTTGTGGTTATTTGCTACACATGAATAGATAACTAATATATTTGGAAGTGAGTTGCTGCCATTTTAACACATTTTAAGTATATAGGAGAGGCACTGGAATTAGGCAATGGCAGAAACTGAAAGATGTTGAAGAGAGTGTTAGTGGAAGCTGAAAATGTCTTCAATAGACTATTATTAATAAGCCTGACATCTCTGAGGAGGCTTCTGCTGAGGAAAACATTATCAGAAACTGGAGGAAAAGGGGATAGTTTTAATATAGTGGCAGAAAGTTAAGCAATACAATTACCTGCAATACTGTGGAACTGGAAATTGTATCTAATAAAATGGATGATCTAGGTAAAAAACTTCCAGTCAGAGTTTGGAAGGTGCTGCTTGGTTTCTTCTTGTTGTTTATAGTAAAATGTGACAAAGAAGAAAATAAGCTAAAGGACAGATTATCAAACCACAAGAAGCTGAGACTTGTTGGCCTTGAAAATTGCTAGCCTCTCAAGATGGGAAACAATGCTAAAATAAAGAAATGGCTTCTGGACAAAGACCAAACTTAGACATTGCCAGATGTCAGACAACCATGGTGTAAAAATGAAGCTGAGGATGTGGTTATAAAATACTTTGCTAAGACCTTAGAAATATCTAAGGTTGTACTTCAGAGAACCATCAAGTCACATTAGAGCTTCAGAGAAGCTTAAGAATAATCTCACCACAGGCTTTAAGTAGAGCAGAGCTTATCTCAAACAGATTTGCAGGTGTGGCTTTTGTATAATGGAATTAACTCCAGTAAGATTCACAGGAGACTCACAAAGTTTTTCAGAGTATTTAACTGTTAGAAACATCAACAGTTTGGACTGAAGAGAACAAAAGAAAAGAGGCTTTTGTACCTCCAAATTCCTACAGGCAGGAACCAGACTAGGAAAAATATACAGCTGCAAATCTAGGCTACTTTTCATGGAAAAATAATTTGGCTCTGAAGGTAAAACCAAAACTTCAAAGGTCTAAGCCAAAGTCATAGAAAATCATTCCCAAGAAGCAGTAGGAATGAGTACTAGTGAAGAGCATTCAATATTTGCCTAGATAGATTTCAAAATTGCTATGGATCAGTGACTCTTATATGCCTTTTGTTTTCCACACTTTGAACGGGAGTGTCTATAGTGGTTATCTTATTTATGTCCCATCATTGTATGTTGGGTGTGTATGTGGGTAAAGAAGAGCATACTTTTTAGCTCTTTAGTTCACAGATCTTCAGATCAAGGAATTTTACTCAAGGAACTATACTCGAGGAACCACACTCAAAAAGCCTTATTCACATCTAAGTCTGTTTGGGACAGCAAGATTGTAGGATTTGAGATGATGCTGTAATGGAACAAGATTTTTTTTTTCATCATGCATCTTACATTTTATTTTATTTTTATTTTTATTTTATTTTATTTGATTATTATTATACTTTAAGTTTTAGGGTACATGTGCACAATGTGCAGGTTAGTTACATATGTATACATGTGCCATGCTGGTGTGTTGCACCCATTAACTCGTCATTTAGCATTAGGTATATCTCCTAAAGCTATCCCTCCCCCCTCCCCCAACCCCACAACGGTCCCCAGAGTGTGATGTTCCCCTTCCTGTGTCCATGTGTTCTCACTGTGGAACGAGATTTTTGATGGCCTTGAGAATATGTAAGTATTCTTTGCATGTGGGATGGAGGTTAGTCATTGAGGGATAGAGGTTAGACTCTAGTGCCAGCCTCCAAGATGACCTCCAAATAATCCCTGCTTTCTGATACTCAAGCTACTGTGTAGCTGCCTCCCATACTGAATAGAGCTGACCTGTGCACCAATGGTGTATTTTGTTAATGACAATGTGTGATTTCAAAGGCTAGCACATAGATATTGTGGCTTGGAACTCTCACTTTCTCTCTGTCTCAGATCACTCATTCTGGGAGAAGACAACCGTCATATCATGTCATGAAGATACTCATGCAGTCCTATGGAGAATTTCATTGGTAAGAAACTGAGCTAGAATGAACTTGACAGCCTTGTGAGAGAGCCATCTTAGAAGCAGACCTTCAGCCTCAGACAGCTTTCAGAGGATTGTAGCCCCAGCTGAAACATCAACCACAATCTCATGAGAGACACTGAACCAGAATCACCCAGCCAAGCTGTTCCCAAATTCCTGAGCCATAGAAACTGTGTGAGATAATAAATGTTTATTGTTGTTCTCAGCCACTACATTTCTAAATTATTTTTTATTTATTTTTAGACATAAGGTCTCACTATGTTGCCCAAGCTGGGGTGCAGTGGCTATTCACAGGCACGATTGTAGCAAACTACAGCCTTGAACTCCTGGGCTCAAGTGATCCTCCCACATCAGCCTCCCAAATAGCTGTGACTACAGACATGCACCATGACACCAGGCTAAGTTATGGGATAATTTGTTATGCAGCAATCTCAACATGAGGCAATGGTAAGACTGTTTAAAAATGTTATGTGTTTTTTGGCTACATCAATTGAATAAAGGTTTCATATCATCTATTAATAATCCACTTCTAGACTTACACTAATGTAGGATATTGTTTATAGCTTGAGTCGTATAGTATGACAGACATTGGTAAAGATATTGAGAGTACTAAAGTACTATCAAGATAGTGAAAACAACAAAATATAACATAAGGAGTGCTTCAGTCAACTGGTGATGTTTAACCTTGAGTAGACTAAGGAATTACATGGTATCTATACATGTATGTAAAGCAGTAGTGCAGGGAAGAAATAATACATATATTCTGCATATCCTGTGTTTCTTCAAAGGGGAGAAAAATAACAAAAGGCTAAATGTTGTAGAATGGTAGATCTCAACAAAATATATGGAAGCATTTTTTGATGCTTCAAATTCTTTAACAAAATAATGACTTCCACATTGGAAACATTGAAACATAGGCAGGATTACCACCTATGAAAAAGGTAGTTCAGAAAAATCCTAGACTGGAATGTTGAATAAACTATACAAAATGGCCATGAGGCTGCTTTCCCATTTGATCTAAGATACACTTAGTTTTCTGCAATAAACCAGCAAATTTAGAGGCATTCCCTTACCCAAAGCTCCAAAGTACTTAGAATACCATCTTAGGTGACACAGTGAACTTTCTGCAGATCCATGGAATGTTATTTAAGTGTTTTCCCAGTTAACACCAGGATCTAGATATGAAGTAGAAAGACCGAAAGACCACTACAGAGGAAGATACCTCTCATTAGTATTTGGTCTAAAGACTTTTTTTCAAGGCTTCTCCAGGATAAATGTATTTCTTGAAGCTAAGATTCAGATTCAGCTTTGGCTTCATTTTAAAGTAAAAACACTCTGGGTTAGAATGATTTCTAAAATCTAAAGCTAACTTGCATATCACATAGTACAAAGAAGATAAGCACAAATCATTTACTGAGAATCATTTATTTAATACTGTTTGAGGCTTATCAGGAGGGTCCATTATATGCCATACATGTGTTAAACTTTCAGTCAGTAAACCATAATTACACAATTCTTCTTCTTCTTCTTCTTTTTCTTCTTCTTCTCCTTCTCCTTCTTCTTCTTCTTCTTCTTCTTCTTCTTCTTCTTCTTCTTCTTCTTCTTCTTCTTCTCCTTCTTCTTCTTCTTCTTCTTCTTCTTCTTCTTCTTCTTCTTCCTCTTCTTCTTCTTCTTCCTCTTCCTCTTCCTCTTCCCCTTCTTGTCTTGCTCTGTCACCCAGGCTGGAGTGCAGTGGCACAATCATGGCTCACTGCAGCCTTGAACTCTTGGGCACAAGCGATCCTCCCACCTTAGCCTCCTGAGTGGCTGGGCTACAAGCACATGCCACCACACCAGCTAATTTTTAATTTTTTGCAGAGATGAGGTCACTACATTGCTCAGGCTTGTCTTGAATTTCTAAGCTGAAGATATCCTCCTGCCTCGGCCTTCCAAAGTGTTGGGATTACAGGCATAAACCACCATTCCTGACAGGATTTTTTTTTTTTTTTTTGAGACAGGGTTTCTCTCTGTCACCCATGCTGGAGTGCAGTGGCACAATCTCGGTTCACTGCAACCTCCACCTCCTAGATTCAAGCCAACCTCCTGCCTCAGCCTATAGCTGGGACTACAGGCATCAGGTATGCGCCACCATGCCCAGTTAATTTTTTTTTTTGAGACAGAGTCTTGCTCTGTCTCCCAGGCTGGAGTGCAGTGGCGCCATCTCGGCTCACTGCAACCTCCACCTCCTGGGTTCACGCCATTCTCCTGCCTCAGCCTCCCGAGTAGCTGGGACTACAGGCGCCGGCCACCACGCCCGGCTAATTTTTTGTATTTTTAGTAGAGACAGGGTTTCACTGTGTTAGCCAGGATGATCTCGATCTCCTGACCTCGTGATCTGCCCACCTCGACTTCCCAAAGTGCTGGGATTACAGGCATGAGCCACGGCACCTGGCGAATTTTTTTAAATTTTATTTATTTATTTATTTTTTGAGACAGGGTTTTACCACTTTGCCCAGGCTGGTCTCGAACTCCTGAGCACAAGGAATTTGCCGGCCTCAGCCTCCCAAAATACTGGGATTACAGATGTGAGCCACCGCACTCAGCCCCTGGCAGGATGTTAAATTCTTAATTTTCTATGTAATACTCACAATTTTGGGTCCCTTAAAAGACATAGTTGTTTTTTATTTTTTCTTGAATAATAAAAAGAATGAGAGAAGATGAGTTCATGCCCTAATTCTTAAAAACAACTTAGAAATTATTGTAGGGATAATATAAGAACAGCAATATATCTGCAATACTCTTTATTAGATAATTGAATTAGTCCATTCTCATACTGCTATAAAGAACTACCTGAGACTGGGTAATTTATGAAAAAAAGAGGTTTAATTGACTCACAGTTCTACAGGCTTAACAGGAAGTATGACTAGGAGACCTCAGGAAACCTACAATCATGGCAGAAAATGAAGGGGAGGCAAGCACATCTTACCATGGCAGAGCAGGAGGAAGAGAGTGATCAGGGAGGTGCTACACACTTTCAAAGAACCAGATTTCCTGAGAACTTCATCACAAGAACAGCAAGGGGGAAGTCCACCCCTATGATTCTATCACCTCCCACCCGGCCCTTCCTTCAACATGTGGGAATTACAATTAGACATGAAATTTGGGTGGGGACACAGAACCAAAGCATATCAATAATTTTGCCTAATGTAATAATATTTCCTTAAATAGAAATGTGGAAAATAAAGCCATAGTCTTTTACCAGTTGTCTTTGAAATTAAGAATCTTCTTAGTTTTACCACATAGAAACTGGGTTTAACATTTATGTAGAATATATATAAACGTTATACAAACATTTATGTGTTATCTATTGTGCACTGAAGATGAAGAGCCTGGTAATTGTAAAATATTTTGTTAATAGTTTCATTTTTCAAAGTAATTAAGACATTAATCCTATTTTCAGTAGAATAACTTATATGAAAATGCTGACTTTAAGTCCGAAGTAAACTTTTTTTGACATTATAGAGCCCCAGTGTTCTGAGCTCTTCCCCCAAGAGCCTGGCCCATATAAAAGCCCATTCTTCCATTGCTGTCTTGAAAAAAATCTTATGTTCAGGACTTTTTCTTATCATTGCTCCTTCAGGCTAAGCCTTATTTGTCCATCAGCTTTCTTTTTGTTTTATCTTAACAATATAGATTAAGTAGAAAAAAAATAAAGCAAAATATGCATAAAAACATTCATGTATTATGTATAATTGCCTTTCAAAACCTTAGTTACTATGCTAAGGTGTTTAGATTCTAGCTCAAAGTTTTTAAATTATTTGCTTTATAACTGAAAGGGAAAGTCTGTTTTTTTCACTTCTTATAAAGTACCTTCCTAGCCTATGAGCCTTTACCAGTCCCTGGGATCCACTGGGATTAACATTTATAAACTGCAAATACACAAAAAGCCAAGGGCCAAGGATTTCCAAATAGGTATAAATACGTTTTCCTTGCAATGGTAAAATGAGGTAATACAAATCATCATTAAGGAGAATGGAGAACTCTCATTTTCAATATATACTGCAATTAAATTAAGTTCCTCTAAAAAC
This sequence comes from Homo sapiens, assembly GCF_000001405.40. Taxonomy (NCBI): domain Eukaryota; kingdom Metazoa; phylum Chordata; class Mammalia; order Primates; family Hominidae; genus Homo; species Homo sapiens. Next base: position 110,591,650 of record NC_000004.12, on the reverse strand, counting down.
TCAATTGGTCTGAGTTTAGAATCTAAAATGCATAAGAAAGTAGATTTCTGATAATGATAGGAGGATCCTGCTTTTCATATTGGATGGCTATGTATGACTCAATGTTAAATATTAAAATACTAAAAAATTTAATGTATTTAGTTCCCTTTTTTGAAAGGGCTAGGGCTTCTAACTTCTAAAGCCACTTTAACATTATGTTTGTAGATTTAGTTTTAAGAATATTATAGCATAAACTAAGTAAAATGTTGCCAGAATGTTTTTCAATATGGAGTAAAATTTTTATTGATATGTACTTATTTTCTATAATGGGAACTAACCTCACATAATTTTAAAAGAAGATAAATTTTAAAGTATAAAATGAATGGATTTCTGTTTTCTCAACTGTCTCCATAAATTACATGCCAATATGAAAATCTCTCATTATTATAAGTATGTAGAACATTTATGAAATCCAATGTTCCTTTTCTTTGTCATAGTTTAAAGTTAGTTTTCACAGTACTTCACTTAAAAGAAAATTAATCCATCTCTGCTGTGTAATCCTTAGCCCTAATATATTTCAGTCATGGTTTTCCCTTTGTGGCTCTGATATTTACACTTTAATTCACAGTACAAAAATATGTGAAATGACACTATCAGTGCAACAAACGATATGCATTTCAATATTTTGGAATATAACTTCACAGAAACCTTGATACATTATTATATTTCACAAAAGCCTATGGTTAACTCAGTCTGTTATAACACTGTGGGACTATAAAATATTTTAGATGATATAATGAGGAAAGAAGATAGATTTAAGTGGAATACACTATTACCAGGGATTCATCAGTTACCTGCTCTCTTTCTGCCTTCCTAGGTAAAATCAAGATCAAAACCATCAATACAGTAGCACAAGTATTCAGATTGCATTTTTTTTGTTTTTGAGAAGGGTTTTAGGGAAAAGTTTGGGAAATGCAGTCTGAAGAACATCTAACCCATAGACATACAAACGAATAGTAGTAAATAGTTGGAACAAACGGAATTGACAATTTATATTCTGAATGTGTCTCATATGCTGGAAGACTAAAACTTTCTTTAACCTCTGAGCCCTTGTCATGGTTTCTCAGTGATTAAAAAAGGAGAAAAGCTACTCCTTTCAGTAAAGGACTTGAGGAAGCTTTTAAAAACATAGGTTTTTAAAAACATAAATGGAATTAATTAATTAGAAAACAATTATATTTTATAAGGATCATTAAATTGTGAGCCTAGATGGATCTTTACTTATCTTTGTATCCTCAGACCCTAACAGTATCCATCATTAGGTAGAAATTCACTAAATATGTATTGAATGAATTACTTTTAAAATAAAATAATACCATAATTTTTGAAAATTTAGCTTCTTTTGTATTTTTAGATTTGGCATTAATTCAATGATAATAACTCAAATTTTACTTTATTTTCAAAGGCCAAATCTATATCATTAAACATTAACATTTAACATCTAATCAAAACAATATAATTAGTCATACTTGTAACAATATTATTAATTGTATTAATTCCATATTAATTTTTACTTAAAAACATTTTCCTGGCAAAAACAAGAGTATGAAACATATCAAATAGGATGGAAATCTAAGTGAACTGTTGAGGTTGTCATAAATAGCTAGTAATAGAAATGTATAGCAGAAATGTGACTAGGCCTGAACATCTATCACTTAATTGGTTAACTACAATAAGTATCTTTATTCAATTGAGTCTGGAGTTTATTTGCATTTATGACCAGATGCTTGGAAACTAACTATTATTGCTGTGATTGTTGTTGAACTTTTAATGAATTACATGCTGCACCAATTTTAGCGGACCGTAATTTCTTCTCTAAAAGTACAAATGTGTGAAAATTACAACAAAATGGAAATGCTGACAGATGTTCAGCTAAAGTATCACTACCTTGGACTTATTCCATATTGTGTTTTCAAGCCCTGTTTTTCTCCTCAGATAGTTTAAGAAAACCTCTAAACAACTCTTGAAATGACAGTACATCTTCAATAAGATCTCTCATGAATTCTGCACATTTTAATTCTCAAATTATGTTAAATGTCTAGATCCACTCTAGGATGACTAAATATATAGAACTAAGTAATACAATTTACTAAAAAGAATTGCTCCCTCTAGTGAAGTCACAATATTATTTCATTTCCTGGCACTCCTGTACTGAGTAATTTAATAAATGTTATAAGTGATGATGACTATTATGTTGATGATAGTGGTCTGGCCTACTTTTGTGATATTAAATTTTAATGTTTTCTGTGCTTGAAAACAGGAAAGTTAATAATGGTTGATTACAGCTGTTTACTGGATATTTTAGAACATTACATTTAAAAACTCTGTGTTGAAAAAGTAATTTATTTCTAAAACTCTTGAGATTATTTCTGAAACACTATTGGTACTATGTGATGTTGAGGCCTATGACAAAGTTGACATTAGCAGAGTAAAGAGGGGAATTAATGCAATTGTCCTAATAATTAAAAGTGTTCTGGGGAAAGTAAGTTTAACTGGAAATCTAATTTTAGCCATAATGCCTATCTTTGCTCTGGTTACCATATACCTAAGAAAAATTAGACATTATCAATCTTATTCCTCTCTACTAGTCAGAAATATTGTGCAACTAATCATACAGATGTAAGATATTTGAAATTATTGGACTTGTATTTAAATTGCTGTTACAACACCTGAATATAAATCAAAATAGTGGGGCTGCTGTAAAAGGACAAGTATTATTTAATTCTCAATTTGTTAATGCAGATCTGGCCTTACTTCATTTTAAATCACAGGAAAGAGAAATCAAAATGGAAAAGTTATCCAGGTGATTACATTTATACAAGTGATTAACTTAAATGTGACAATAATAATAAAGAAGAACAAAACAAAATCAGTGAGGAGATTCACTTTTCCTTCCAAGTAGGACCGCATTTTCTGGGGAATTTGAATTACCTGGATAATTATTTCTGTACTCCACCACTTTGTCTGAAAAGGCAAAGCATTTTTACAATAATAGCCCGGTTACCAGTCCCATCAAGTTACTGTTTTTCTGTATCAATAATAATAGAGTAATTCCACCAAATTTTATGTAGTTTTCGCCTTCCAAGTGCTTAGCAAATATTAATTCATCAATGTAGCATTCCTATGAGGAGGTAAGAATTTTTAATAAAAAAATATAATCTAGATTAATTTACTTGAAAGCACACATGTAAGAGAAGCAGAGAAGCTCTAAAAAATTAAATGATTATATAAGGATATGAAAGAAGGCAATATTATTTTATGGTTCATTCTCTCTCCAAGTAATTTGAAGAGAAGCTCTTGGGAGTAACAGGCCCGTCAAGGTTTAAAAAGATTTTGTCTACAGTCTCGTCTTTCAAGTGAAGGAACAATTAGCAATATTTCCATGGAGACGTGACCAAGTCCCAGGCCAAGAACAACCCTCGCCCCAGGCACCCAGCCCAGGCCCTTCCTGGGGTTCACTGGACCCCGCCAAGAGCAGAAGCCTCGTGTCCCGCACGCTGGGCACCCGCATGAGGCTGCCTGTGGCTGCTCCGCAAGGTCCTCGAGGCAGAAATCTCGGTGGGC